>NC_000016.10:64562500-64865530 GCF_000001405.40 Homo sapiens | reverse complement strand
GCAGTTCCTGGACTCTTTGGAAGCTACATTAAACCATTTGGGATACTAAGTGCACTTACTATGAGAAAGACATGAATTATTGAACATTATCCGAGTGACCTGGAAAGTTCATGCAAAGGGCTTTTCTTATACCATGCTGCAATTTATGCACCCAAGAGGCCGCCTTTCAAAGTAGTGTTAGGCATGGTGCATCTTGTGTTGCAGAAATGGAAAGGGTTCCTTTCAGCTGTCAGCCCAGTGACAAATGGGACCAGCTGTGTCAAAAGCTGGGGAGTGGAGGGCAGTTCAGCAAATTCCTATTTACAGAGAAACAGCAGAGTCAGAGAGATGATAGAAGTGGGCCCTGAACTGAGTCAAACAGGGACAAGCCCAGTTTTGGGTGGAGGAACATTTGAGAATAGGGTACTGGGAAATAGAGAAAAACCAAGCTGGGGTGGGACAGAGAAATGTACTACCAAGGAAATTGAGAGGTATCTATTCCAAATCTAGAGTACAGGGACCAGAGATTGTAATCACCAACCCCACAGACATGATTATGACTCTTTAAGCTTAAATTTGATGGTAAGAAAATTGGACTGAGTATTTGGATTTAAGATGTTTTAGTTAAGCTATAATTCTGCTTTTTGCTTTTTATAAAAGCTAATTTTTTTTACTGTCTTAATGTTACCTCAGACAACCACTTCTCTTTTGCTCTCTGAAATGAGATACTATATGAATTCTTGCCAGAAATATCAAGTTAATGCCCAAGCCAGCTCTATGTTCTGATTTATCTTCCACGTTGACTCAGAGTAACAGAGCCATACATTAAGGAACAAAGCTCGCTGCTGGGGTATTTATAACCTTGTCTTTTAAAACATTTGGCAGACGTTCAGACCCTCCATATGTTCACAGTATTAAACTTCACCATAAAAGGAATGGAAGAGTTACATTTGAAGAAAGCTGGTATTGTATGGTCTGAAAGTCTGGCAGTTTAAAAAAAAATAATCAAGTCCAACTTGAAATAACAGACGCTCTGTGATCCTGCTGAAAGTTTAAATCCCAAACAACAGAGTCCTGCTCTCCCTAACACTGAAGATGTCATATTTCAGGAGCATTTTCAGTGACTCAGAGTAGACACATTGAGCTTCTGAGCCTGGTTTAATAAGGATACATTCCTGAGTGATGAGGACTAGAAAGAAAAGCTATGGGGTGAGAGCACAACAGTCCAGCCCCAGTGTGCACTACTACTTCCCTCCAACATCATGAAAGCCTTGCAGGAATAGGGAAGTCTTCTAGCGGGTCAAGCTCCTTCCAGTGGGTACACAAGCAAATCTACGGGGATATGGGCTGGACATGCTGGAACCTATATTTATATTCATGGATATACATGGAATTTACATCCATTTATCCAAAAATATGTTTTTTTTCTGATGTTTAGTCATTAATTGAAACTGGCACCATTAGTCTATCCATGTTTAAGTGAGTTGCAGATCTTGAACAATCTTTGATGCATCCTCGAAAAAGGCGAAAGTTCCCTAGCTCACTAGTTTAACAATCATTCTACTGCTTTTGCTGTGAAGTCCTGATGTTTAGAGCTGCTCAGTTAAGTGAATTTATGGATTATATAATGTGAGTTTGATTAAATTAACTAATTTAAAAAGAAGTGAATTTTATAAATACATGGAAAGAGAATATGGATCGAAAGTAATACTAATAAGACATGCAAAATGGAGCCGTAGACAAGAAAAGAAACTGCTCTTTCTGAGTATGAGCCTTCATCAGCCACAATTCAAGTTAACGTAACAACCACCTAGGCTGAATTATAATGAATTAGATAAACTCCAAAATGGACTAATTGCAATGTAGTACTCTGAATTGGATTCCGGAACAGAAAAAGGGCATTGGTGGAAAAACTAGTGAAATCCAAATAAAATTTATAGTTTAGTGAGTAGTATTGCATGGATGTTAATTTCATAGTTTCAACAAATGGTTACATAAGTATTTAACATTAATGGGAACTGGGTGATGGCTATACAGGAACAGTCTACGCTATCTTTTAAACTTTTTCATAAACTTAAAATTATTTCAAAAATAAAAAGCTTATTAAAAGAATTTAAGGTGAATTGAGAACAAATAATTATAGAATAAACTGAAAATCCTGGCAATGAAGAAAAAAATGCCAATTAACTATAAAAAAAACTTGAGATGATAATGGAAGAAAGCCACTTTAAAGACATATTTTCATTTCCTACATCCATAATAAACCTTATCCTAAGTATATAGTTATTAATTCATGAAGAAATAAAAATAACTTCTTTTTGAAAGAAACATGCTATGGAGAAAAGATTTTGCGAATGTTTCCATTGCTGTATGATTTTCTTGCTAAAAATGATTTACCTTACCTAAAGATGTATTAATGCACAAAATAATTTAAAATAAATAGGGGTTCATAATTTAAGAAAAAATAGAGTTTAGCTCTCATTGATTTATAGACCTGGACAATTCTGTTTATTGAAATAGGATTCACTCTTCTAAGGAAGCATTATGATTTGGTGATGAGGAGGAGAAAAGGCCAATTGAATCAGTATGAAATGTAACTGACTGCATTACCAGCTCTTTCTTCATTAAGCAAGTAACTTTTCCTCCAAACCTTGTTTTAAAATTATGATTGTCCACAATATCACTGAGTTGCCGCATTGTTTTTAGGAACTTTTCTCAAAATTTGGAAAAAGGTGTTATGACTAAGACATGTTCATAGTACTATAACTATATCTAGGAATTCATTGCAGGGGATAACCAGATATCCACCCTTTTATAATAAGGGTATTTATAATAGCATAGTTTACAATACCAGAAAAAATGTGGAAGTGACTTAAATGCCCCCAAAATAAGTGATGATCCATCAATTTGACTGAATATTATTTAATCCTTATAATCTGGTTCCAAATATTCTATAAAGAAGTGGAAACATATTCAGCACCTTTTTTTCTTCAAAATTACTAATGTGTCTATACAAGGTGAATTTAGTACATGAAAACTAACAAACAAAAAACCTACCTGAACGTGAACTTCTCCTAAGCCAGAATTTTCTCATTCATAAAATGGAGATAAATGTATACTGTTATACTGCCGTCTCATAGGCTATTGTGAGAACTGTACGAGGTTAATGCCTGCAAAGTGCTTAGAAGGGCAGTCTGGCCCAGCCTTTTGCCCATAACAAATGCATGTTGAGTGAAGATAATGATAATAGCCTTTTGAAAACCTCAGTGGAGTCTGAACTCATAAATGGATTATGGGTATGTTATTTCAGCTTAAAAACTATCGCTGGTCAGTACTTTCAGGAAAGACTTGCTTTTAAAGTGGATAAGGCATCCCCAAGATTTAGGTGATTCTTCCCATGAGGTACTTCAAAAACAATGCCTGCCACTGAAACCCTACACCAAAATGTCTGCCACTTGGGTGCACCTAGTTCAAGTTCCCCCAGAGCCACCTGACTCTGGCAAGTTGAGCTGCATTTGTGGAGAGAATTAAAGAGTAAAATTATTTCTTCCCCTATTTTCACGTAGCCTTCTGTCATCTCTCTCACCTCCTCCTTCCTTCCCTTGCCTCTTTCTCCTTCTTCTTCTCATCCTAATTACAAGTGCCCTATGTCTGTCTTGTCATCTCTCTCTTGGTCTGTTATAGTAACATTCGTGTTTATATCCTATGTCTAGTCTATTTATGCTCCAGTCACTGTCAAGCCTCTCTACTTACTGTCAAATGCCTCTTCCAAATTCAAATCTGAGAACTTCAGTTCTTGTTTGAAAAACTTTTTTTGGTTTCCTATTTTTCTCAGAGTTAAATTGATCGGCACAGCATAAACATTTATCTATCACTGAGGGCCAGGTGCAGTGGCTCATGCCTGTAATCTCAGCACTTTGGGACGCTGAGGCAGGTGGATAACTTGAGGTCAGGAGTTTGAGACCAGCCTGGCCTACATGGCGAAATGCTGTCTCAACTAAAAATACAAAAATTAGCTGAATATGGCGACATACACTATAATCCCAGCTACTCGGGAGGCTGAGGCATGAGAATTGCTTGAGCCTGGGAGGCAGAAGTTGCAATGAGCCAAGATTCCACCACTGCACTCCAGACCTGGGTGGCAGAGTGAGAGTTTTTCAAAACAAACAAAAAAATCCCTCTCGTTTAACTTCAACATGCTTCTCAGATGCATTTCAAACCAACCTTGCCAGCTGACATTTTGCTATTCTAGCACAGAAAAACTTGCTCTTTTTTTTTTTTTTTTTCTTGAGACAGAATCTCACTCTGTCACTCAGGCTGCAATGCAGTGACATGATCTTGGCTCACTGCAACCTCCGCCTCCCGGGTTAAAGTGATTCTCCAGCCTCAACCTCCTGAGTAGCTGGGATTACAGGTATGCATTACCATGCTTGGCTAATTTTTACATTTTTTTAGTAGAGATGGGGTTTCACCATGTTGGCCAGGCTGGTCTCGAACTCCTGACCTTGTCAAGTGATCTGCCCGCCTCAGCCTCCCAAAATGCTGGGATTACAGGCATGAGTCACAGAGCCGGGCCTTTTTTTCTTTTTCTTTTTTTTTTTTTTCTAAGTCTCTTGGCTGAAGAACATGGTGATCCTGTCTCTGGAAAATATTAACCCTGTTTGCCTACCTGGTTGACCTCTTGTTTCATCTTCTATTGCAGAGATGTGTTCTCCTCCAGGAATCTTTCTTTCTCCTTATCTAGAAAGATGATTTTTCTTTCCTTTTTACCATGACTGCACTTTGCATTATCTTATTACGTGGTCTTACAAGTGATTGCTTTACGTGTGTCTCCAGCCCTGGATTGTGAGCCTCTTGAAGCGTTCACTATTATTTATCTATAGCTTCTGGCTAAGGGTATTTCATACAGAGTAGGCCCACAGTAAATGGTTGATGATTTGATCAACCAATACTTTTTGAATGTCTACTATCTTTTGAAGAATCTTACCATTAAAATGCATAAGAAGTACCTCTAGGCCAGATTCAGTGGCACACACCTGTAATCCCAGCATTTTGTGAGGCTAAGATGGGCGGATTGCTTAAGCACAGGAGTTTGAGACCAGCACGGGAAACACGGCGAGACCCTCTCTCTACAAAAAATGCAAAAATTATCTGGGCATGGTGGTGCATGCCTGTAGTCCCAATTACTAAGGAGGCTGAAGTGGGAGGATTGCTTGAATCTGGGAGTTGGAGGTTACAGTGAACCATGCTTGCACCACTGCACTACAGCCTGGGTGACAGAGTGAGAACCTGTCTCTCTAGAAGGTCCCAGATAAAATGCAAATAAGTTACTTAAGTAGCACTTACCATATTAGTGAGGCATATCTATCAAGTTAGAATTTTATTTGTGAGTTTACCTATGGAATATAGATGTATTACTGGTACAGATAGATTCAGATATTTAAAAAGTCATCAAAACTTTCTTTTGTGTTTTCTCTGATTGACTTCATTCTTAGGTGAACCCTCCCTGTATATTGGCACATTGGAACAATGGGCCTTACAAACTTATATCCTCCTAGATAGCAAGCCCTGAGAAAGTCCTCACTGTCTGACAAATAATGAATACAAAAATGATAGGTGTGATTCTTAGTTGGTCAAACTTGGGCATGTATAAATCCCTAAATGAATCAATGTCCTACTCTGATTTACTAGGCTGGGGTCAAACACAAATACAATTTATGGAATGAGAGAAGAGGGGTGGTTTTCTAAAGATATTTTAATATTAAAATAGAAGAGAGAGAAACAGACAGTCATTATATTGGACAAACAAAACAATAGTTTCACATCACAGAGAGGTTAACAAAAAAAGAAAAAAAGAAAAGGAAGGAAAGAAAGAAAGAGAAAGAAAGAAAGAAAGAAAAAAGAAAGAAAAGAAATTCTTTTAACACTATAAATTCATAAAAGGTTTTCTTTTTTCTATCTGTCAAAACCCTTCACATGCCATCTCAACTATAATTTGTTTTGTGAAGTTTTATCCCAAATTCCTGGGAAGAGCATGTCATTTTTACCTCTGTGTTTCCTAGCTCTTTGAATGTACTTCCATTTTTTCAAATGCCATTTTGTACTGCAATTGTTTGCTTACCACATCTTCTCCAATGCACTGTACCTTTCTCAAGGGAGGACCACTCAGTATCTTCTTCTTGTGTGTCCTCACATTGAACACATAGGAAACATCTTTAGAAATGTTTACTGATTGCAGGCAGGGCTATAAAAGAAGATGCAAACTGAGAGAAAGGGTAGGAACAGTTCAAGACATAAGATATCCAGGAACTTTCTGTCTACCTCATGAGATTGAGGCCATTAATAGAGAAAATGGATGCCCACTATCTCCTACTACCCCACAGTTTTACAGTATAGAATGCAGACTGGGTGTGGTGGCTCACGCCTATAATCCCACCACTTTGGGAGGCCGAGGCAGCAGGATCAGCTGAGGTCAGGAGTTTGAGACCAGCCTGACCAACATGGAGAAACCCCTTCTCTACTAAAAATACAAAATTATCTGGGCATGGTGGCACATGCCTGTAATCCCGGCTACTCGGGAGGCTGAGGCAGGAGAATCACTTGAACCCGGGAGGCGGAGGCTGCGGTGAGCAGAGGTCATGCCATTGCACTCCAGCCTGGGCAACAAGAGTGAGACTCCATCTAAAAAAAAAAAAAAAAAACAATGCACTGGCTATAATTCAGACAAATAAGATCAAATCTTATTGATGGAAACTCTTATTGGCCAGGGAAGCTATTTAAATTTTCACAGCCTCCAGTCCATCACATGTAAAATAGGGATTAAAACATCCATAAACAGAGCAACTTAAAAATAAAACTTAAAAGTATATTTGAAAGGAAACAGTGTCAGGCCTTCGATCTGTGTTAGTTTTGCTTGCCTTCCATGCATCTTCTTTACCTCATTACCCTTTATTTAGTGACATCTGTCCCTTGAAAGCCCCTTTAAAAATATGCAGCCAAATGCTAGGCTAACTTCTTTTCTAAGCCAGGCTATAATTTCATTACATTGTTTTATTTGAATTCTCTATTTTGACTTTCTGAGCATCCCTGTGATTTGCTTCTGATGCAGTAACAGCATTCTTTTGTTTGTTCAACCTGTAAATTTGAAAATTTCTCCTGAACCTGTCTTCTCAGCAGGTTTCCTCCACTTTGCTGGAAACAGAAGTTGGTGACTGTTCTGAGTGCAGAATGCTGGAATGAAATTAGACACCAGTCCATGCAGATATCTCAGACATGGGAAGAGTTTGGGTAATGATGCACCCAGGGAATATGTACCACCCACTATATTGCTAGAATTACTGCAGATGACAGAAACCCACATCTAGACAGTAACAGACAAAAATGAGCTCTATGGGCTAACGTGATTTTTAAAATTCAGTGTGATAAAACCATTTTATTTCTTTTTTGTTCCCAACACCTCTCTTCTTCCTTTCTTATTCCCCTCCATCCTTTGCCTCTTTTATTAGCTTTGTTTATTCAGAATGCCTGTATGAGTAGAAAAAAAATATAAATGGAGTTGGTAGCTCCTTGCTTTCAATATTCTTGCAGCTTTTTAATCTCAGGAAGAGAACTCCCTCTTCTTCTCCTCTCCCTCATTCCTGCTCCCCTTTTTCTCCCTGTCTCCCACTTCTCTCAGCTTTCTGTATTAAATCTTATAGAAGAGCTATGATTGGCCTTGCTTGGGTCAATGTCTGCCCCTAGATCAATTCTGTTGCATACAGAAGGAAGGAATGAAGTGACATGATTGACCAGGCCTGGGTCAATGGCCTTTCTTTGCTGCCAAAGGCTCTATGACAGACAGATCTATTGGAATTCCATGGCATGAGGGAGGACACTGGAGAGAGACATTTATCAGACGTCCACTTACCAATGAGAAAGCTCAGTGTCCTTGGTGAGGTCACCATACTCATGGGGATTTTTGCATAACTGTGTTAAGCAATTCAGACCTCTGACAATTTGAGATCTTTCGAGACATTCTTCTACTCCAACACAATCCAGCAGCAGTCATGGGATGGATCTCTTCATGAGAAGGGTGGCTTTGCCTAAGATAATGCTATAAGGAAGCCTGAGACTTCATAAAAAAATCTTAGTTATTATTATTATTATTATTTTTGAGACAGAGTTTTGCTCTTGTTGCCCAGGTTGGAGTGCAATGGCACAATCTTGGCTTACCGCAACCTCCACCTCCTGGGTTCAAGCAATTCTCCTGCCTCAGCCTTCTGAGTAGCTGGGATTACGGGCATGTGCCCCCACGCACGGCTAATTTTGTATTTTTAGTAGAGATGGGGTTTTTCCATGCTGGTCAGGCTGGTCTCAAACTCCCGACCTCAGGTGATCCACCCTCCTCGGCCTCCCAAAGTGCTGGGATTACAGGCATGAGCCACTGTGCCAAGCCAATTCATGTTTATTTTTACTAATGTATAGACTTTAATTTTTTAGAGCAATAGTAGGGTTACAGAAAAATTAAGTGGAAAGTACAGACAATTCCCATATGCCATCTCAGTCCCTTCCATCCCCAACAGTTTCCCCTATTATTAACATCTTGCATGACATAGTGCATTGGTTACAATTGCTGAGTCGATATTATTGTATAATATTATTAACTAAATCTGTAGTTTACATTGGGGTTCACTCTTTTTGTTGTATATTCAATGGGTTTTGACAAATACAGGATGATGTGTATCTACCACCATGGTATCATAGATTTCACTGCCCTAAAAATCCTCTGTGTTCCACCTGTTCATACCTCCTTCCTCCACCCCCAAGGCCCTGGCACTGATCTTATTACTGTCTCCGAAGTTCTGCCTTTTCTCAAATGTCATGTAGTTGAAATTATACAGCATGTAGCCTTTTCAGATTGATTTTAGTTAGTAATAGTATTTAATATTTCTCCAAGTCTTTTGGTAGCTTGATAGCTCATTTTTTATTATCATTGAGTGATATTCCATTTTATGGCTATACTACAGTTTGTTCACTTACTGTAGGACATCTTGGTTACTTTTTTATTTTGACAATTGGAAATAAAGCTACTATACAAATTTTTACACAGGTTTTTGCATGGCTATTAGCTTGCAACTCATTTGGGTAAATACCTAGAAACATGACTGCTTGATTACATGGTAAATGTATGTTTACTTTTGTAAAAAAACTGTTATACTATCTTTCAAAGTAGATGTAATATTTTGCATTCCCAATGGCAGTGAAAGAGAGTTTCTTTTGCTCCACATTCCTTCACCATTTGATGTTGTCAGCGTTTTCTATTTTAGCCATTCTAATAGGTGTATAATTGTGAAGACATTTTATTCCAAGTTTTGTCTGTTTTCATTCCCTGTGACTCTGAATGACTAGCTTATCACTTTCTTCGGTGAGACACAATTATTACCTGTGACCTGGCTAAATGGATTCTTCATCCTCATCCCAAATAGTACATCTTGCAACAAGGTAATGTACAACCCTGGACCTCATTACATTCTTATTGCCCCAAAATATCTTATGGGGGCCTTGGAATCTTCATATTTTGCAAGCTCCCTCAGTGATTTTTGGGAACATGGGATGCTATTGTGACCTTTGTTTCAAATCATTCAGCCTCATTTCTTGTCCATGGGCTTTCCTGGGAGAGCCCTACATTCTCATCTTTGTGTTCTGAGGCAGCACCACTCTCCCTGGACATAGATTTTGAAGCAGTAACTTCAAGACTCTGAGCCCCCAGTTCTTAGTTTGCACAATAGCACTGACACTACCTACCCCAAAAAGCATCTGATAGGATTGAATGAAATAGCTGATATGAAGGCCTTTGGGGCAGAGGGCAGCAGAAATAGCCACTTAACCAACTGGCTTGTTCCTTCCCAGTTACTTGGTTTTCATATAACTCTGTTTGTGCAGCTGACCACACCAGTGCCTAATTCTAACAACTGCATTACCAAAGCCTGGTTGGACCTGTTTAAAGCCCTTTTGAGTCCATACACCTTACCTGACACTTCCAAAATTAAGTAAAATGGCATGGAGGGGAGGGCAAAAACTAATCACAACTGGACCTATGTTAAACCTGCCTGGCTTTTTACGTCTCTGTTTGCTTCATAGAGAGAAATTAAAGCAGTCTGAAGACTGCAAACCAAGTGAGGAGATACTTTTTTTCAATCACAAAGACTTTTATATGCGTATTTTAGCAATGCTTAGGCATAACGTATACATGAGACAATGCTTATAAAAGGGAGATTCAGACTTGTTCTTTGAGTTTACATAATGTCCTCAATGAGAAAAGACCAGGATAATGATCCACCCCAGTCTTCCTATTTGTGTAATGAATGAAAAAAACTGAAGTCAAGAGAGAACAAGCAAACTCACACTGCCATTAGTGCAAAGCTGGGAGATAGAACTCCTTAATTTGAGGACACGGCACACGTTTACTTATGTAACAAAGCTGCACATTGTACACATGTACCCCGGAACTTAAAATAACAACAATAAAAGGTAAAAACAAATAGAATAAAGCAAAGTCTTCCCTGATATCTTTTGATTGTGGGTTTAGGTCTAGGCTCTGCGTCTGAGGTCTTCCGCTTCCACCTGACCATGCCCCTTTTTGATGTCCCTGTTGTCTTGTGCCAACTTTACCCTATCTCTTTGCTTAGAGAATCAACTGTTGACACTTCAGGTGTCCAGCTCTGCTTCCTGGCTCCTGATTTGATCTACCTTGGTTCCCCAAGGGCTGATGGTGGGCAAAGGTATCTTGTTGACAGTGTGACCACAACATACCTGTGTACTTCTCTCCATCAAGACCTTTGACTCTCTGAGTCCCAACCAAAATGCTCTCTCCTCCTACCTTGTTGCCTTGGAAGAAAGCACTTTGTCCTCCATCTATGAAAGTAAATTCTCAGGATCATATCCCAACACCAAAGCTTCCCTGTATCACCCTTACTTTGTTTTGCAATTATTCACTTAACATATATTTTTATATCTATGTATGATTAAAATATACTCTTTTTGGTGTACAGGTTGTTATGTTGACAAATTCCTAGACATTTGTAACCACCACTGCAATAAAGACACAGAGTACTGAGGACTGACTTTTAAACTAAGTCTGTTAAATGATATTTAATTCATTTCCCCTTTTTTTATTACTAGAATTTATCTTCCAATCATAGTTTCTGACCTGAGTGAGAATAAGTGCAATGAAAATGATTTGTTAAAAATTTCCAATAGTAAAGGGATGAGTAATTTTATTTGCCATGGGCAGCCTGTTTGCCCATAAGATATCATTTTTTTTTCTATAGGCAATTTAAAATACTGGAAGCATCTCATGGATTCCTAATACTACCTCAATAATATCTAGATCGGGTTTTAGGGCTTTTAGTGCATCTGTTCTAGAACCAGATAAAAATGCTTTCTTTAAATACCTTGAGGTTATACCAAGGGATCTCCCCATGGGGGCACTTTAAAATTGTCAAAAAGTTTATTTCATGGGTCTTGAAGATATGAGGTATTATTCCTGGCACAATATTAGAGTGTTTCTTCTATCAAGTCATTTTGACAGCTAAGTTGGTATTGATCTCTACATTCTCAAATATCAAAACCAACTTGTCAGTGATAAAAAGAAAGTGGCCAGAGACCTCCCAGGAATTTCCTGCTAGAAAAAAGAAGAAATCTTGCTCTTTGCTGTCCAAGTGCTCAGCATGTTAAACCTCACTTTGAATCAGTCTTTCAGACAGATAATGAGGTGGTAACACAATACAAGACTGTAATAAAAATGGATGGAGTGAAAAAGAATTCTTCAGGATATGAACTGAGATATGTATACAAACCAGCAGTAATCATTAATAAAACTCATTTTTTTTGGTCTCACTCTCAATCTTTCTTTCCTGCGTGATTGGATACCGGGATTTTTAGGAAGGAATAACACATCAAACAACACATCTGCATGGTTAATGAAGGTGTCAGACTAGAGTTGGATTTTAAAATGAAAGTCCTTTGGCATACTGCAATAAGGAGATAAGATACTTTTTATAGATTGCAAGAATTTAAATACTTTGAGTTGCTTTCACAGAATGCTCTTCAGTTTTTATAATATCCAGTCATTCTTATTTTGCAATGAATGAAGAAGAAGAAAATGAACGTGTCATGCATTGCAATAATTACAGAGAGTTTATTTTCAAAATAAAATAAACAATAAAATCATAGTTTTTCTTATTTTTTTAAATGAGAGGCAATGTGGGGCTAGTCTCATCCTATGTCTTCATTTTACAAATGAGAAAACAAAGGTAAATTTATTTATTCTCTGTAGATAATACACTAATGACAAAAACTAGAGTGGAACCAGAGTATTTTTGGACCATAATATAAAGTTATATTAGAAAATGGTACTACATATATGACCCATGTATTAGGGGGCTGAGCGTCTTTTGACAACCTTGTTTTACCCTAAATGTAAAGAATATGGAAGTTAGTGGTTGTTTAGATCAGAATGGCGGTCAGGAAGTAGAACCTTAAATATAACCATAAGTTTGTGAGGATGTTTTGCCTAGAGAAATTAATGCTGAGAGCAAAAATAATCGTATGAATAAACAGAAAGTAGTAGTAAGTCACTTCTAACACAACCAAGCTCTTCCATACCAGGTGGGCAATCTTGGGCAGGTTTGGCCCTCTTTAGGTTTCTTCTTTTTCTTTTCTTTTATAAAAATAAGGGGAGATATATACTGCACATGATACAAAAATTGTTTTATAAAATCAATTCTGTTTGAATAGGTCACCTTAATATAAAAGATAAAACACTAAAGTTTTTGGAAAAATAAGGGGAATGTCTTCATGAACCTAAAGTAGACAAATAATTAAGACACACAAAGTGATGAATGATACACTTGAACACATTAAAATTAAGGATTTCTGTTCAAAATGTTCACTCAATACTTTAGAGAGTGAAAATCCAAGATACAAAATTGGAGACTGTATTTACATAACATATATCTAACAGTGGACTTGAATCCAGAATATATAAATGACTGCTACAATAAGAAAAAGGCAGACAACCCAATTTAAAAAAATAGTTGAAAGGCTTGAACAGGCACTTTGTAAAACAGAATACTAAAATGTCCAATTAATACAACAAAGAGCGCTTAATTAGTCATTAGGGAAATACAGTTAAAATCATAATGTGATATTGGTATACCCAATTACGATGGGTAAAATGAAAAAGACAAATGATACCAAGTGAGGGTGTGGAGGATGAGGAGCCGCTAGATCCTGATACCTTACTGGTTGGACTTTAACTTTGTACAATCTTTTTGAAATATAAAAACCCAGAAAACTAAAGCTGAACAAAAAGATATGCCTTATGCCTTAGTAATTCTATCCCTAGTCATATTACCCAACAGAAATACACACCTGTGTGTGCCAAAGACATGTATAAAAATGTTCATAGCAGCCTTATTTGCAATAGGCAAAAACCGGGGATAATCTTTTAGTCTGTGTATAATAGAAAGGATAATGATATGGTATATCCATGCAGTAGACTATTGCACAATGAAGAACAGACACAAACTACAACTAAACAGAACAGTATGAATGAATCATACAATATAGCATTGAGGAGAATAAGTCAGTTTTCCCAAAGTACCTATTACTTTATTTTACTTATATAGAGTTCAAAAATAGTCAAAACAAATTGATGACATTATACATCAGCAGAGTGGTTAATTCTTCCTAGGATGCAGTGGCTGGAAGGGAGTGTAAAGGGATTTCTAGGGTTCAAGTCTGGTTCATGTTCTGATATAGGTACTGTATCAGCTATGTATGGAGATATATTCATTTTCTTAAAATTCATGGATTTGTGTTCTTTTCTGCATGTTACATCTCAACAAATTTGAAAAATAGCGAGGTAAATCAGATTAGAGAATTTCTGACCCAGTAATTATCAGACCTTTTATTAAAAAATTTTAGGGAATTTACTAGAAAGACAGATTTCGGGGCTTCGCGGAATATTATTGTTAAGATCACAGTTGCTTATTTTAAAATATGCAACCTAGATAATTCTAACTCAAGTGGGTTCTTGGACACGTTTTGAGAAATGGTGTGATAAGAAGTCTTTCAACTTTGATATTTCTAAAGCTCTGTGGGCAACTAGCAGATGAAGGTAATCAGAAAGTCGTGACATTTTCTTCACTAAAATATTTGACTGTAGAAGTTACCATGGAAAATATCTCGTCATGATGGCACTGCAGAGTTTGCTGTTTTCTTGGACTGTGCTTAGTTTAATAGTTTTATAGAGATCTTGGAAGCAGATCTTTAGGGATGGTTAAAGTTCTGATGATGAGTATGAAACACTTTTTAAAAAACATTTGCAGTTATTTTTGCATTTTATACTTTTAAAAATTTTAATTGGTGCATAAAAATTGTACATATGTATGGGGTTCATTAGATATTTCAGTACATGCAAACAATGTGTAATGATCACATCAGGGTAATTTTAATATTCATCACCTCAAACATTGATCATTTCTCTTTGAGAACATTCAAAATCCTCTCTTCTAGCTATATTGAAATATGCAATAAATTATTGTTAACTATAGTCACCCTATGGTATTATAGAATACTAGAAATTATTCTTCCTTATTTAACTGTAATTTTTGTACCTATTAACCATCCTCTTCCTATTTCCCCCTCACCACTCCTCTTCCCAGGCTCTGGTAACCACTGTTCTACTCTATACTTCAATGGGATCAACTTTTTTAGCTACCATATATGAGTGAGAACATGCAATATTTGTCTTTCTTTGCCCAGTTTATTTCACTTAACATAATGTCCTCTAGGCTCATCCACATTGTTGCAAATTACAAAATTTTATTCTTTTATTGTGGCTGAATAATATTTCATTGTGTATATATACCACAAGTGTTAAGATATGGAACACATCCACGTGTCCATCAATGAATTAATGGATGATGAAGCACTTATTTTTTAAGAGAAGCTTTAGGTTTATAACCAATTGAACAGAAAGTGCAGATAATTCTCAGACCGAAAGTGCAGATATTTTCCATATATGCCCTGCTGTCACACATGAATAGCCTCCTCCACTACCAGTATCCTCAGGAAAATGGTACGTTTGTTACAATCAATGAGCTTACATTAGCACATCATTTCCAATAAAAGTTCATCATTTAGGGAATCACTCTTGATGTTGACAGCCTATGAGTTTAGACAAATGTATAATGGTAGTTATCCACCATTATAGTATCATACAAAGTAGTTCCGCTTCCCTAAAATTCCTTTATGATCCCTCTATTTATCCCTCCCTCTCTTCTATCACCTGGCAATTACACAATCACTGATGTTTTTACTACCTTCATAGTTTTGCCTTTTCCAGAAAGTTATATTGTGAAAATCATATAATATATAGCCTTTTAAGACTGGCTTCTTTCACTTTTGTAATATTTATTTAATTTTTGTAATATATTTTCATGTCTTGATAGCTTATTTTGTGTTTGCAATGAATAGTATTCTATTGCCTGGATGAACCACAGTTTAAGTATTAATTCACCCATTAAAGGACATCTTGGTTGCTTCTAAGCTTTGGCAATTACAAATAAAGCTGTTATAAACATCAGTGTGCAGGTTTTGTATAGCCATAAGCTTTTAGCTCCCTCAGGTAAATATCAGTTAGTGCAATTAATGAATTCTATGGTAGGAATATGTTTAGTTTTATAAGAAACTGCCAAATATCCTTCCAAGGTGGCTTCATCATTTTATATTCTCACCAGCAATTAATGACAGTTCCTGTTGTTCTGCATCCTTGCTAGCATTTGGCATTGTCTGCATTTTAGATCTCGGCCATTGTAATAGTGAAGGTATGGAGAATTTTTCATGCTCAAATCATTTTTTCCAATCCAGTGGTTGAAAAGAATGTTACAATTCATTTCAACACAAAAACTTTTATGACATTTTTGAGAAATATGTTTGGAGTCCTGGGGGAACACAACATCACTGGGACTGTCTTCACTAAAAAAGCCCCAGAAAGCGGGACACCTTGCATGACTTTCTACAGAGGCAGCAACTGCAGCATCAAAGGATGCTGCCAAGAACATTTATCAATTATGATTACCACTAATAAAAACCTCTACAGTCTAGTGATGGTAGGGAACACTGCATTTTGTTTACTTCCCTTGAGACAATAATAAGACCTTCAATATATTTTGCGGTAAAGAAAAGCATTTTATGTTGTTTAACATAGAACTATTTTTCATTTAATTCCTTAATATGTACATCATGGAATCTACTGGTTTGATACAAATGCCAGCACAAAAATTTCTCTGCTCTATGTTGGCCAGATAGAAATGATGGAGACATGCAAGATGAGAGAAGTAGTAAAGGGAAGTGACTTCATCTACCAGGCAATAATGGGAGGATTCCTCCTTTGACTGGAATTATATTAAATCAGTGAGATAGGCAGCCTTGGTGGCTCACGCCTGTAATCCCAGCACTTTTGGAGGCCAAGGCAGGTGGATTGCCTGAGGTCAGGAGTTTGAGACCAGTCTGGTGGTCTCAACATGATGAAACCCTGTCTCTACTAAAAATACAAAAATTAGCTGGGCGTGGTGGCAGGAGCCTGTAATCCCAGCTACTTGGGAGGCTGAGGCAGGAGAGTTGCTTGAACCCAGGAGGCAGAGGTTGCAGTGAGCCAAGGTCACACCACTGCACTCCAGCCTGGGCAACAAGAGTGAAAGTCCATCACACACACACAAAAATAAATTAAATTAAATTAAATTAAAAATTAAAAAATTAAATCAGTGAGATAACAGATTATGTATAACTTATCAAGCTCTTTGACTACAGTAATATGTGCCATAAATTAATTTAAGAAGGAAAGTGATTAATGATATTTAAGGGAATTAACCAAATTGGTTTCTGTCTCTACCAATCTCTTCTCACTTTCTTGTCCCGGGAGAATGAAATTTCTTCCTTCTATAATTCATCTATCCACAATATCTTGCATTGTTTTATCTCTTGGCCCCTGAGTGTTCCTGCTTCATTAACAAATCTTTTTCCTCTACTTCAACTTTTCTTCTTCATTGGCTCTTTTTCCAGTCAGCATGTAAACATACACAAGTATTTCTGATTGACAAAAAAGTCCTGTCTATTCTTCTTTTCATTCTTTTGTTCACGTTTTTCTACCCTTCCCTGCTAAATTGCTTGAAAGAACTATGTAGCCATACTGGAATCACGTTCTTGCAATTCGATTCCCAAGTTATTGGCATTTGGTTAATACCTCCATTATATCTCTGAAGTTTCTCTTTAAAACTCATCAAACACTTTCTAGTTGGTGAATCCAATAACTAATCTGCAATTGCTATTTTAACTTGAGGTTTCTGGGATATTTAATCTTATTGATCTTGCCCTCTTGTTAAAATTCACTTTCTGTTTGGACTCAGCCCTACCAGTTTTTCCTGGTTCTCTAGTTACTTGCAGGAAGGGATTAATTTTCCAGGCCATAACTTTCAATAGAGAAAATGTGCTACTCACTCTATTTCTTTGAAGATAGTGTGGAGAGAAGGATCATGCAAATATTTCCCTTATCCTGTGTCTTAGACCTTCATAGGGAAAGCACAAAGGACTAATCTACTCACATTGGAGATGACTTGTCTTACTGATGAGAGAGTGAAGATCCCTGATTTTATTGGTCAGAAGGTAAGTTCTTAGTCCTGAAAGGAAGTTCATGGATCTTTCTTTTTCTGCCCCCAGAATTGAGTCTCTTTGACTCAAATTGTGCTCCTTGTCTTTGGGTAGGAAATAGACCTGTTCTCTCTGCTCCTTTCCTTCAGTTTCTCACTTTTCCACTACATAGGTATGGCAGATCAAGCCACTTTAAAATAGAGAAAAATTGACTCTTTTCATTTTTTTTTTTTTTGGTGGGGGGGTGGTTACTGTCTGAGACACATAGCTAGTAGGAGGCTTTTAATATTTTGGCTTTAATTTCTAAATATGTTTTAAAAATATATGAGCCAGCATCATCACATCAGTTCAAGAAAACAGGGACCACTCTAGGTAATTCAAATTTAGTACAGGTAATTAATTGGTAATGCAAGGGGCGAGAAGCCAACTAAAGCATGGTGAAAAACAAAAAAGCAAACAAACAAACAAACAAAAAACAACACAAAAGAGACTTTAGTAATGTTGAGAAGTTGCTAACCCTCTGGGAGTGGAGGGACAAAGAGAGGAAGGAGGTGGTGTTAACAGAAGCAACCCAGGGGCTGGGTCTGTTTAGTGGAAACCAGAATCAGAAAGATGGCTGCCCCACTCCAAAGAGAAAGAGAGCATCCAGTTAGAACCTGGAACGTTTATGGAGACTCAGCTGTTATAATCACGTGACTACAAACCACAGAAAAAGAGGAAGAAAAATTTGGCTTCCTTCTTTGTTCCTATGCCCTCCATCTTCCACCAGGGTTACTCATTGACCAAATATAGCCAGAAGTGCATTGGTGTGGTAGCACAGAATCATTGTCTGTAGGAAACATTCAGGGATAGTACTTTAGGTAGACTGAACTTTCTGAGTAGCGTGTTTTAAGCATTATTGGCACATGAATAATGGAATCCATTGATCTCCACGTAGCTGCCTGTGTCTTTTCCTCACTGGCAATAACTTGGAGATCAAAAAGTGACGAATTTGCACTCTAAACTTCTATAGCTTCTTCTTGTCAATTTTGAGTGAGTGATTCTCTAGTTTTGCTATATCTAAATATTGACATTCCCAACACTATCTTCATGATTTAAATTGCCATTTTGAATTAAATTGCCATGCTGAATCCTATTAAATAAACAGGAGGGTATTAGCCTGCGGCTGTCTATGAACTTTGAGTTCTTACATAACAAACCAGATTCTTAGTATGCAAACAAACTGAAGCCTAACTTAGGAATATAACGAAGAGCAGAGTTTCCTCCAATCACATGCAGCTGGGTTTCAACCAATCACAGAGACCAACTCATCACATCATGTCCACCTAGTTGTAGCCATTCAGGTGTGTTTCTCTACTTTTCTTCTGTGTTTGGCCTGTAAAAGCTTGAGGTTCACACTACCGAATGGAGCTCCCTGCACCTCTTTGCTCTGAGTGCTGCCTAGATCATAAACCTGTTTGCTCAAGTAATCGCTGCTAAATTTATCTAAAGTTTCTTTTTTTAACATTCCCAATATCAATATGCCCATCTTTGATCTATTTTCTGAATTTCAGTTCTATAATTTCTACAGTCTGGTTGACTTCTTTCTAGAATATCTCACTTATGGGATAAGCTGGTACATTCAACTTAACATATCTCAAATAGAAAGCATGTTGTTCTCTAATTTGTGTCTTTTCTTTTGCTGCTTATCTTAATAATGGCACCCATATTATCACACTTGTGCTACCCAGGATCTTGGAAATCTCTTTTACTTATCTTCTCTTCAAATCATTCAATTCCTCAAAGGAATTGAATTACATATTCTCTAAGTATATACTTATATACTCATGATATATAGATGAATTATATAAACAATTACATATAAAGTATATAAACAATTATATACTCTCTAAGTATCACTTAAGCTCTGACTGCTCTACACTCTGATTGTCTCTTCTATCTCTGTTGTTGATGCCCTATTTCAAGCTCTCATCTTCTTTCATCCATGTTATTGCAACACCACTAACTCTCTTTTGTAGTTCTTGTGTTTCCCTCCTTACATGATATGCTGTATCATAAAATGCCCTTCCTGCTTTGCTCCCTCCAGCAGTAGTTTCATTTCTCATGACTGCTCCATACATGGGATATACTAATCTATGTGCTAGAAGCAGAGCAAGCATGTGAGAAGACAGATCATTGAGAAAGCTTTTAATTTGTGTTATAAGTGAAATAAGAAGCCAATGCAGGGTTTTGATTATAAAGTTATTACTCCAGTTGATATATTGGGAATAGATTATAAACAATCAAGGATAGAATCAGACAGCCTATAGTAATCCAGGTGAGATATAATGGTGGCTCAGACCAGGGCTGTTCTATTAGATATGGTGAGAGATGATTATATTTTTGCTGCATTTTGAAGATGGTGCCAACATGACTTCATGAAGTATTAGATGTAGGGCATAAAACAAGGATTAGATGAGGGACATAAAATAAAGATAAAACAAGGATGGGGCATGAAACAAGAGTTATTCCAAAGATTTTGACCTGAGCAATTAGTAGGTGGAGTTGCTATAACTGAGATGAGTAAGAGGAAAGGATTGAATCTAAATATGTTAAGCTTGAGATATCAATATTTGTGTGGCGATGGTGGTGATGCTGTGTAGGTGTCCTTGAAGACATAGCTGAATTGTCAACTCATCTCAGAAACTACAAGCTAAAATATACCATTTTCTACAGGCCCTCGACACCTAAGATAGTTTTACAAATCTAAGATTTTTGAATAATTGTAAATGAATGAAAAAAAGTGAAAAGGAAACTTTTACATTTAATATGAGAATAAATGAGATAAAGCAACCAGCATAATGTCTGCAGATAACTACTTTGCCCATAGTTCCACTGTTCCTTACGTGGCTCAAATCCAGTAATAGTTGGGAATATAACAGTTAGGCTATTTCATTCCTATGTGAGATAACTTTGATGTGCCATTTTAACTACAGAGATCCCCATCTTGATAAATCTTGATAGATTTATCAAGGCTGTCATTGGGTCTGCATTTCAGTTTGAATTTTCCCTCAGCCCAATCCTGCTTCCTTTCTCTTCCTGCCACAGGTGTTAATCCCAAGACTACTCCCTAACAAAAGTCTGCTTCCAGAAGAAACAAACCTCTGGAGTTGGTGCCAGGAGTGATCTGGGACAGTAGTTCTTCAGGTGGCACTTTTGGCCTGGGTCATTCGCTGGCTAGCTGGTAGTGAACATGCATGGGTGGTAGGTGGAGAACAGACAGCCCCTGGCAAAATATAGTGGTCCAACTTTTAGACTTTTACTCGCTGTGAATTGGGATGTATTGGACAGAAATACACTAGCTCCTGCAGTGTATTGGATCACTGATTCAAATGGAGGATATAGTAACTATAAAAACAGTAGAAGATGTGGCTGTTTTAGGATCCTTCTACTCTCTAAACAAATACAATAAAGGGCTGAGAGTGATTAATGGACAACTGAAAGTCCGTAGGAAAGCTAGAGGGCATCTTTGGCAGCAGACAAAGAAGTCCTCCTCTCCTGTGCAAGACAGCAGAGAAAGCTGAGCCACAGGACCAGGATTTACTAGTCAGATTAACTTAAAGCCAAAGCAGATTTGCTATGCCAAGGTCAGAATCTAGGTTGGATAGAGGACAGATTAGATGTTAAATTTATAAGAGCAGATACTATATGACTGGAAAAATATGGAATGGGAACAGCTAAGTTGATGAACCTGAAAATCTTGATTTTGCATATTTTCCTGAATCTACTGAGCCTACAGCAGTGGCCCACATTGCACAATTGAAAAGCTAGGAAGTTCCTCTTGCTGGAAAGCAATTCAGACATTTCTTCTCTGAAAGATAACAAGAGTTTCCTCTGGATGTCACTTCACTCTCATCCTGGACACTAGACCTATAACAGCTTGAGATGTGCTGAACCTGATAAGAGGGTCAAAATACCATTCCCTAGAGGAACTACAAGCAAAGAATAATAGCAAAATTGGTACAGGATGTGTAGAGTTGGACTCTGAGTTTGCTCAGTCAAGTAAGTTGCTTGATTTTAGCTGTAGAGCTCCTTGTGGGGTTAGTTTTGTATAAGCAGTACTTCTTGACTTCCTCCTCTTCCTAACCTTTTCCCACTCTCTAACAGGCGTTGATTCTAAGAGCATTCCCTAACAAACACTCTGCACCCTAAGCTCCAAGTCAGGGTTCCATGGAAAACCGACTGGTAACACACATAAGGAAATGCTTGTAATGCATTTCCAAACATTCCATGCAAGTATAGAATGTACACTGTAGAGATACATATTTGTGTCCAAATCAGAAAAGACCTATTTGAGACTTGTCAAAAAAAAAATAGAATTGACAGCCTCAAAAGTAGAAAGAGCCATATCATGTGAGCAACTCAGGCAAGGACAAGATGATCATGTAGAGAGTCTGCTTCGCATTAATATGTATTTCAAGAATTAAATTACAGACTCATGCCTGTAATCCCAGCACTTTAGGAGGCAGAGGTTGGAGGATCACTGGAGTCTAGGAGTTCAAGACCAGCCTGGGAAAAATAGAGATCCTGTGTTTACAAAAAATTAAAAAATTAGCCAGGCGTGGTGGTGCATATCTGTAGTCCCAGCTACTGGAGAGACGGGAGGATCTCTTAAGCCCAGGAGTTGGAGGCTGCAGCAAGCTGTAATAATGCCACTGCACTGCAGACTGAGTGCCAAAGTAAGACCCTGTCTCAAAAAATAACTAAATTAGAAAAAAATTGAACTTCTTTAGTAGCTCCACTAGATTTCAAATTCTGTAAAAGGTTTTGCTCAAGTTGAAGTAGGTCAGGGGACTTGTAACTTTTCTTCCTTGGTCTTCCTTTTCCTTTTTGTGGATCCTTGAGTTATTTTTGTGGAGCCCTAGGGTTCCATGGAACACACTGAAAATTGCTGGTGTAGATGTTCTCACTGCTTCTTTCTAATTCGGTATTCTTTGGACTTACGATTTAATAATTTAGTGGGAAGGAATTCATTAGAAAGATGTGAAACAAAAAGATATTACTCGGGTGTATGTGTTATGTCCTAAGCATTGGAGTTGTCCTACTTAGTAATTCATATATTCAGCATATGAATTATGATATAATCACACGTTTAAATATGCAATCATTTCTTGACTTGATTGTAATAACCTGTCTATCAGAAAAAGACTTTCCCCTTCATTGCTATGTTGACTAAATGTTAAATTAATCATGGACCCTTGCCAAATCTGCTTTTTTTAAAAAAAGAACAGCAAATAAATTGCTTTTCCAAGACTGAATCATGCTGCTTCTCTTCCAAGAGCATTTTTGTAATTACTTCTTTGATTACCCAAGTGATAATATCAAGATAGATTCTTAACCTTTATACTAGGCCTTTGTGTGCAAATACATATTGGAAAAGATGGCCAATGATTTAACACTCCATGTGAGGGGGCAGCTCTAAGCACTCCTCCAGTTCTATAACAGACTGAATGGCTTCCGATGGAACGAGGAGATAACAAAGGGAGAAATCTTGGCAGGAAAATTACTTTGCTTTGAATCCTAATTGCAAGATATCTTGAAACAGCTAAAATTTCACATTGAGGTTGTTTCAAATGTGTAGAGATTCAAAAGTAATACAAAAATCACTATGACGTGTAGCTATAAAAAATAAAATATGGGAGCTGGGTGTAGTGGCTCATGCCTGTAATCCCAGCACTTTGGGAGGCCTAGGTGGGTGGATCACCTGAGGTCAGGAGTTTAAGACCAACCTCACCAACATGGTGAAACCCCGTCTCTAGGAAAATACAAAAAAAAAAAAAAAAAAGTAGCTGGATGTGGTGGCAGGTGCCTGTAATCTCAGCTACTTGGGAGCCTGAGCCAGGAGAATCGCTTGAACCTGGGAGACAGAGGTTGCAGTGAGCCGAGATCGTGCCATTGCACTCCAGCCTGGGCAACAAGAGTAAAACTCTGTCTCTAAATAAATAAACAAATAAATACAAATGATAAAATATGTGGATCTGTATATTTCAGCATATGAACTATTTTCTTTTATAGATGTCAGTCCCCAGTAAGGCTTTCCTTCTTAGCTCTGTCCACTGTCTGCTTCCTGAGGAATCTGATCTATGACAGTTGATAAAAGTAGGGAGGAAGATGAGGTTTTGGTACTGGGCCACTACACCTGTCCAGCAGGTGGAGCACAAATAGCCCCTGGCACAAGGTGACAAACAAATTTTTAAAATCTTACTGGTGATGATTTAGGAGAATGTGGCAGTGGAAGGGAGTAAACTATCCAGTGTGATGATTCAGGCTTTGGGGATGATAACAACCATGAAGATAATTAATGGATTTGTATAGTTGTTAGTAAGTTGCATTGCTCCCCTATACATGGATAATAAGATGATGACAAGTAAAACCAAACCAAATCAAACAACAACAACAAAACACTTGAAAACTAAGTGTGAGAGTGAGAGAATCTCTTCGGCAGCTTTTAAAGAGGCCCTCATGTCACACGATGACAGAGCAATGAAAACAGAACAGTAAGTACTACATTGAATAGTTAGCATAGCTTAACATCAAAGAGGGTTGAATGTTCAACCAAAGCAGGCCAGTTATGACAAAATTGGAGGCTCTAGTTGGGAAAACATGCGACCCTGACACGTGAGATGAAGTTATCTGAGTAGGAGCCATGCCCCAAGGAATTTAACATTTCAAACTTCTCTGAATCTTACAAGTTTGCAGAAGTGCCTTCTCTGCACCATCCCCCACTAAGAGCTACCACTTAACCTGTGCAGGGAGATAATGCAGAGAGGCATTTCCTCCTCAAGCTAACAGGTGCCTGCTTCTGTCAAGAAATGCCCTTACCACCTCCACTGGCCATCAGGGTTACTACTCACGGTTAAATAGCAACACAACCCTGACCATTGAGGTGCTGGGATTCCTAAGGGAGGAAAGAGACCATAACCCAAAGGAGCTCCAAGACATAAACAGCATGAACTGACAGTGGCCAAGGAGTACCCATGAGACTAGATTCTAAGGGTGTTAGATCAAATTCAAGGGGAAGGAGAATAGGATTTAATAAAGGAGAGTTTATTGATTAGAAGCCATTCTCTCAGGATTCCAAATCTTGGTAAGGATCCCAGAGGATGTATCAAACTTGCAGCAGACATGGCTTGTATACCTTGGAAAAAGAGATATGCATATGGAGCAACATTGAAACACCTGAATTTCTGCAACAGATGGTAGGAAAGGGGATGAAAAGGCTCAAGGAAGAGGACATGTGTGAATGGTCATATTTAGATGATGATAAAAGACTTATCTGAGGATTTTATTTCACAGGAACACACCAGAATGGACTGGTAAGTGGACACCAATATCACTAAGTTCAATGGTGGCTCTCTCCTCAGGCAAGAGCTGGTAGCAGGGAGGTTGTCATCCAGTTTGGCTTATTGGTAGCCACGGAGATGATAGAGACATGACAATAGATGTCAAGTGATGGCTCTTAACTACCAAATCCAGTATACCGCAATTATCATAAACTTCAACAAGGACAGAGTGGCAGCCAGGATGAAGTACAGAATTGTGGTAATGGCAAATGGAACACAACATCTCTAGAAGCAAAATAGAGGGGTAGCCAGCAAAGCAGCAAAAATACTTCTCTCTCCCTCTTTCTCTGTCTTCTTCATTTTATTAATATCCTTATATGCTAAGTATATAGCAATAGAAAGAGAAGGAGGCTGAAGGTGGTTTCTTTGATAAAACATCATAATCTCTTGTTTAAATTTCTGGGCAAGTTTGTAGACCCGAAACCCATTGATTGAAGAAATGCACAGGTTCCCAGAGGGAAGGCCACTGTAGGAAAATGACACGCATACATTACAGTAATTACCCTGAAATAAATCTATGAGCATTTATACAAGTGACCATAGACTTGGGAAAGGGGACTCAGGCATTTCAATGACAAATGTACAAAAACTCCAACTTGACATCGATACTAAGAAACCCAAGGAATCATCATAGCTTCTCTTTTTAAGAGTGAAGTCACTTGAGAATCAAGTAATAGATTAAGTCTTGTAAAAAATTGGACTTACAGTGAACAGTGGGTCCACTGATTTTTGGACCCACCCATTGGTCTTTGTTTCCAATCCTCTAATGTATGATGGGATTGACATTCTTGGAAGGTTCAGTAACCCACAAATTATGACTTTGGGCTGTGAGATAAGAGCTATCATGTTGGAGAAGCCAAGTGGAAGACTTTAAAATTGAGTCAAATCAAGACAATATTTTTATTGAGGAGTGTATATGGTCAGTCATGGAGATTAATGTGACCCTTAAATATCTCAATTGATTGGACATTCTGGCTCCTGTAGAAACTGGATGAATTCTGGATAACATCTGTACACAACTCAATCTTACCCTTGCAGAAACTAGGTGAATTCTACAGAATATTTGTGGACAACTCAACCAAGTAGTAGCCCCAATTGCAGTTGCTATGCTGAATGATGTACCTTCTAGAGCAGATCAGTAAGGCTTTATGGTATGCAGACATTATTTAGTAAATACCTTCTTTCTTATACCAATTGGGAAAGAGGATAGGAAACAGTTCTCACTCATATTCATTCCTATGGAATGGATACAATATATATTTATAATTTTCCCACGGGGTAAGTTAAATGACCTATGGACTATTATACTAGTCTGAGGAGATATGAATCTTCTGGATATCCCCCCAAAATTGTGTTGATTTAGTCAATTGATAGCATTATTCTAATTGGACAAGATGAGCAAGAGGTGGCTGGATGGTGGAGATAAACTCTACTAATATTCAGGAACAAGCTGTAGCCACTGTGCAAGGTGGCAACAGAAGGGCTTAGTCATTTCTGCCCAACACAGGACTTTTGTACCAGCTAGTCTTTGCTCCAGATATCCTCATTGGACTGGTAGAGACATTGTCAGATCTGCATCTTATCTGATCACTTTCCAATTAGGTTTTTATCATCCAGTAGTCAGGGATATGCAGAACATCTCCTCCAGTGTAAAAGACAAGTTGCAACATATTACATCCCCTACATCAGAGAAGCTATCATAGTATCTAACATCCTGTTCTAATTGTGGAGGGAATAATTTCCACAACTAGTAAAATACAACTATGATCTATCTTGATGAAATAGAAGGCTTTGAATAAGGTTAGGATCAGGAAAGGGCTACAGCAAGTCAGGCTAATCATGATAATAGCAAGCCATGGAGTTTGATAGACTATACAATACTGGACATGTAAATGGTGGAAAAAGATGTGGTATGAATCAGATGGCAAGCTCCAATGGGAGAATCCGATGTAAACCACTGGAGTTATGGAGAAAAGCCATGTCATCTGTTGCAGAAAATTAAATTAAACCCATTTTGAAAAACAGCTTCTGAAATGCTACAGAGCCATGGTAGGAACATAATGTTTGACCATGCAACACCAAGTGATCATGGACCCAGAATTACCCATTAAGACGTAGTTTCTAGTAAAATAGTTGGCTTGGTTTGGAAAAAAATCCATCACGAGATGGAAATGCAGAAATGGTATGTGAGGGTCCAATCACAAGCATGAACATAGGGCATCAGCAAGCTATATGAGCAGTAACCCAGGCTCCCATGTCACCACCACTATTGCACCAGTGCCCCTCCCTCACCTCACTCCCATTGTCATCTTCACTTATGAAAGGGTTGGCTTGGTGACTAAAAATAAATGGCAGCTGCATTATAGCCACAGTCAGAGGTGGCTTTGAAAGATAGGGGAAGGGCAGATCTTCTGCATGGAGCTTTAGGTGATGGCATCAGTCATCCGCCTTGTGGGAAAGGAAATGTGGCACAAGGTAAGAAAATCTATGGATTTATGAGCAATGGAAAGGCATATGAAAGTGGGTACAAAGTGTGAACATATCCCCATCACACATGAACATCAACTAGCATGTTTCCAGCACTGAAAATGCACCAAGCAACTAAGGAGACAGTATGACTTGGCCAGTTAATGTTAACCAGCTATTGTTGATGTCCACCCCGACACTGGCAGGATGGACATATGAAGGAAATGGCTGTGATGGAAGAGACAGAGGTTAGGAACACTTTCAACTGCATGGACTCCTGCTTGCCAAGGCTGATCTACTGCTGCCTCAATTCCTGATTTGCCAGCAAGAGACCAATTCTGAGCACTTGGCACAGTTCTAGTTCCTAAAGAGGCTAATTTGCCCTGGAAGGAAGGAAGAAGAAAGAAGGAAGGGAGGAAGGGAGGAAAGGAGGAAAGAGAAAGAAAGAAAGAGAGAAAGAAAGCGAGAAAGAAAGAAAGAAAGAGAAAGAAAGAAAGAAAGAAAGAAAAAGAAAGAAAGAAAGACAAAGAAAGAGAGAGAAAAAAGGAAAGAAATTAAGAAAAGAAGAAAAGTTGGCAGCATTGGGAAGCTTCCTTCCTGGATGGTTTATTTATTTATTTACACAGGAGAGACACATATTCTGGATATGAGTTTGGTGTTTCTACTCATAGAGTCTCAGCCATCACCATTATTCCAGGGCTTGTGAAGTACCTGATCCATAGTCATTGGATCCCACAAAATATAGCAGTTGACTGGGAGGGAGACACTTTACAGTGAGGGACATGCAAAAGTGGTGTCATGAACATGAGATCTACTGACCATGTCAGATCACACTTTCCAGAAGCAGCTGGCCTCCTAGAGTTTTGAAATGGTCTTTCAATAATATTATACTTTAAATAATAATAATACTCTGCAAAGATAGATTGTCATCCAGAATGTGGTATATCTAAAGCCATTTGTCTGGTGCTATGCTCTCTATATGAACATGCCATAGGTTTGTGAATAAGGAATAGAAGCAATAGTAGATTCATTTATTATCATTTGCAGTGACTCACTGGAGAATTCTGTGCTTCCTATCTGTGAAAATCAGGGTTCTACAAGGTCAGAGGTCCTGATTTCCAAAGGGAGTACATTCTCCCCAGGAGACCCAGCAAATGTCACATCATACACAAATTATGGCTGTCACCAGGGTACTTTGGGTGAGTTGTATCCAGAGACCATCAGGCAATAAGAAAAAACAGTCATCTAGTTAGAGGTAAGTTACCCTGATCAGCAGGAGGAGGCGGGCTGTCGATACACAGTGGAGGTAGGAGGGCTATCTGTGGGACTTGGACAATCTTCTTAGGTTTCTCTTGGTTCTCTATTGCCTATCTGCAACTGTGAATGGAAGGAGGAAATGATGCTGCTTAAGAAGAGTATGGTCAACAGGAGCTCAGTGTCCTCAGCAATGATGTTCAGATTATCACGTAGCTGAGAGAGAGAGGGTATTTAGAGTAGATAATTGGGGAGGGAGAGGAGAGAATGAAGTCCAATTATAAACTTGAGACTAATTATACAAACAAAGACAGTAATTCATCCTCCTATCCTCCATCTTCTAAATTTCTCCTCAGGAAGACAGGCCCCAGATCCTTGGTTATTGGTGCAGATTTGCTTCATGCAGTACCAGGGACATACAGTGGCAATTACAGAAATGCACTGTTCCGCTCCCCTTCAAGAAAGGATTTCCTCCCAGCTGTGAGGTGTGTGGCTAGTTGACAGCCCCAACATGTTAAGTCTGGCATTATAGAGGTGACCTGTGCTTTTGAGTCAAAGCCACACTACATTTGGATTGGCCACCAGGCCATGACTGGCTGGCTGGGGTCATAGCAGCCTAGACATTTCTGTCCAGTGCAGGACTGCAATCAGCAATTGTTGTTTCACACCTTGGCTTTGGGTTATTAGGTCCCTATCTTGGTGTAAGGACTCCTCCTGCCCAATCTTGCTTCCTTTGTTTTTCAATCACAGGTATTACTTCTGAACAAGCCTTTTGTGCTTCTAGCTCTGCAATGCTGTCTGCTTCCTGACATTTTAGATAAGGCCAGGTATCTCTTTTTCCTCCACCTTCTAAATATCTGTTACTGGTCCAATAAGTTAAGTATGGATCTATGCTGCAGAACTAAATGTCCTAGAGTCAGGAAACAAGGGGTGAGGTTGGAAACCTCAAACCATATCATACAATTTGCTTCCATCAGAGTTCTGTCCTGGGGTATATTAGGCACTGCCTAGCCTTCACTAAAGAGATACTTTTAAAGGTGGAGCAGAATGAGGGTCAGGATAGATGTGGTGGGATAATAGTACTAAAGCTAAACAAGAACCCACAGAATGTTAAACAACTGACTATTACTAGAGAAGAGAGCATAAAGAGAAGCTTCAAGATGGGGTCAGATACTTGGGTACGCAAGGTTTAGATTATACAGGGCCTTAAGTGGTTTTCTAAAACGCACAGGTAGCTATTGCGTTATGCCAGGTCATACACTGTGGGTTCCTGGGGTGAGAGAGAGAGTGGCAGGGAGAATAGGAGAAAGGGCTGGATCGGAGAAATGATTTAAAAAAATGTCAATTAGCAAGAATAATGGTTTATTGGATAGGGTAGGAGGGAGGCACAAGAGTATATTCCAGGTTCAAGTCTGAAGAGTAGCTTAGATGCTGTTTTCTGTGATGAGGAATACAATAAGAGAAGACTGAATGGAGCGATACTCAGTTCAATTTTATCAGTTAATTTTGAGGGGCTCCTGTTATATCTTGGTGGAGATCACCAATGGGTAGAGTGGATCGATATATAGTTGGGTAACTGCGGCCCCTCTAACTCCAGAGCAATTTGTGTTTGGTATTCTTTGGGCCCACACCTGGCTGTAGTGTAATATGTGTAGGCTTCTCCTGCATAATTAGATCAACATTGTTATTCTGTGTATATATGTGTATTCCCTATAACCCGGAACACATTTTCTAGCCTTGATTATGAACTCCATAATGAAGTGAATTGAAGGAGTTCTTAGAGACGGTCGGGAGAAAAAAATAAATCTATTTTATTTATAGGGAGGCCCAAATTCCTTCGTAGAATTAAGGCCAATTTTCTATGCATTTTAGTGTAATGAACCATTCTATATGTTGTCTCCTGGACAGCTGTCTGATCAATTAAAAATCTCATGCATGCTTTTTGAATTGAACTGGACTTTTAGACACCTTAAAAGGAGTGTAATTTTTTTAGCTCACAGAGGAAATAATTTTCATTTAAAGGATTGCTAAGTTGCCTTTTCATCCATTTGAAGGATCTCTTAAACATCATTATCAAGAGTTGTTTATCTGACTTCTTTTGAGCTAGTCTGTTGGGGTTTATCACTGCACAGGGCAGCCCTTTCCACTGGACAACTACAGTTATTACAAAGTTTCCTTATGTGAGATCCAGGTCTCTGTCTTCTGCTCTGTGAAATGTTTGTTCCTCCTTGCCTGTTACATATAACCTTGTGTCTGATATTTGAAGTCAGTCTAATTCTTCTCTTGAGTCATCTATTTTAAAGGTCAAATATCTCTCATTTCTTCATTATTGCCTTTGTTAATTTACTTGCAATTATCAACACCCTCATCCTCAAACTAGCCAATCTTTATTTTTAATGTTTAAATTTTCATAGTTTTAATACAAAATTCATTTCTTTGACTTTTTAATCAATTCTATTGAAATATATTTTACATAAATTAAAATATACCCATTTTATTTTATTTTTGAGATGAGTCTCACTCTGTCGCCCAGGCTGGAGTGCAGTGGTGCAATCTTGGCTCACTGCAACCTCCACTTCCTGGGTTCAAGTGATTCTCCTGCCTCAGCCTCCCGAGTAGCTGAGATTACAGGTGTCCACCACCATGCCTGGCTAATTTTTATGTTTTTAGTAGAGACAGGGTTTCACCATGTTGGCCAGGCTGGTCTTGAGCTCCTGACCTCAGGTGATCGGCTTGCCTCAGCATCCGAAAGTGCTGGGATTACAGGTGTGAGACACTGTGCCCAGCCAAAATGTACCCATTTTAAATGTACATTACAGAGAGTTTTTACCAGTACCCACAGCCATGGAAGAAAGGACCACAATCAAAATATAGAATATTCTTATTGTTTCCCAAAGTTCCCTAGGGCCTCTTTGCAATCCACCTCAACCCTTAGCCCAGGGAATAACTGACTTGCTTTCATGCCTGTAGGTTAGTTTTGCCTGTTCTTGAACTTCATATACAGGGAATCACTCATTGTATACTGTTTTGCACTTGCTTCTTTTGCTCAACAGGTTTCTCAGATTCATCTATGCTGTTACATATATCAGGAATTCTTTCCTTTTTATTTCTGAATGCTATTTCATTGTACTGGAACAGAATTTGTTAAACAATTCACCTGTTGGTAGGTATTTGGGTAGTTTCTAGTTTAGAACTATTATGAAGAAAGCTGCTGTATTAGACTGTTGTCACACAGTTAATAAAGACATACCCAAGACTGTGTAATTTATAAAGAAAAAAGAGGTTTAAGGGACTTACAGTTTCACATGGCTGGGGTGGCTTCACAATCATGGAGGAAAGCAAAAGAGGAGCAAGCACATCTTACATGGTGGCACACAAGAGAGAAGTGCAGGGGGACTGCCCTTTTATAAAACCATTAGTTCTTATGAGACTTATTCACCATCACAAGAACAGCACAGGAAAAACATGCCCCCATGATTCAATTACTTCCCACTGGGTCCCTCCCATGAAACATAGGGATTATGGGAGCTACAATTCAAGATGAGATTTAGGTGAGCACAGAGCCAAACCATATCATTCCATTCCCGGCCCCTCTCAAATCTCATGTCCTCACATTTCAAAACCAATCATGCCTTCCCAATAGTCTACCAAAGTCTTAATTCATTTCAGCATTAACTACAAAGTGCACAGTCCAAAGTCTCATCTGAGACAAGGCAAGTCTGTTTAACCTATGAGCCTGTAAAATCAAAAGCAAGTTAGTTACTTCCTAGATACAATGATCTCCTTTTACTCCATGTCTCACATCAAGGTCATGCTGATGCAAGAGGTGGATTCCCATGGCCTTGGGCAGCTCCACCCCTGTGGCTCTGCAGGGTATAGCCCCCTCCCGGCTGCCTTTAAGGGCTGGTGTTGAGTGTCTGCAGTTTTTCCAGGCACACAGTGCAAGCTGTTGGTAGATCTACTATTCTAGGGTCTGGAGGATAGTGACCTTCTTCTCACAGATCCACCAAACAGTGCCCCAGTGGGGACTCTGTGTGGGGGCTCCTACCACACATTTCCCTTCCACATTGCCCTAGCAGAGGTGCTCCACGAGGACCCCACCCCTGCAGCGCACTTCTGCCTAGACATCCAGGCATTTCCATGCATCCTCTGAAATCTAGGCAGAGGTTCCCAAGCCTCAATTCCTAACTTATGTGTATCTGCAGGCTCAACACCATGGGGAAACTGCCAAGGCTTGGGGCTTGCACCCTCTGAAGCCACAACCTGAGCTGTACCATGGCTCCTTTTAGCCATGGCTAGAGCAGCTGGGAAACAGGGCACCAAGTCTTGAGACCGCACACAGCAGGGGGGCCCTGGGACTGGCCCTTAAAACCGTTTTTCCCTCCTAGGCCTCTGGGCCTGTGATGGGAGGAGCGGCCATGAAGATCTCTGAGATGCCCTAAAGACATTATCCCCATCATCTTGGCAATTAATATTTGGATGCTTGTTACTTATGCAAATTTCTGCAGCCAGCTTGAATTTCTCCTCAGAAAATGCGTTTTTCTTTTCTATTGCATCATCAGGCTGCAAATTTTCCAAACTGTTATGCTTTGCTTCCTCTTGAATGCTTTGTCACTTAGAAATTTCTTCCTAAATCATTTCTCTCAAGTTCAAATTTCTATAGCATTCTAGGTCAGGTCGAAAATGTCACCAGCCTCTTTGCATAGCAAGAATGACCTTTACTCCAGTTCCCAACAAGTTCCTCATCACCATATGAGACCACCTAAGCCTGGACTTTACTGTCCATATCACGATCAACATTTTAGTCAAAGCCAATTCAACAAGTCTCTAGGAAGTTCCAAACCTTCCCATGTTTTCCTATCTTCTTCTGAGCCCCTCCAAACTCTTCAAACCTCTGCCTGTTACCCAGTTCCAAAGTTGCTTCCACATTTTCAGGTATCTGTACAGCAGTACCCCTACTCCTGGTACCAATCTATTGTATTAGTCTATTCTCTTGCTGCTAATAATGACATACCCAAGAGTGGGTAATTTATAAAGAAAATGAGGTTTAATGGACTCACAGTTTCACATGGCTGGGGAGGCCTCAAAATCATGGTGGAAAGTGAAGGAGAAGCGAAGGCACATCTTACATGGTGGCAGCCAAGAGAGAAGTGCAGGGGAACTGCCCTTTCAAAAAACCATCAATTCTCATGAGACTTATTCACTATCACAAGAACAGCACAGGAAAAACCTGCACCCATGATTCAATTACTTCCCACCAGGGCCCTCCCACAACACGTGGGGAACTTCAAGATGAGATGTGGGTAGGGACACAGTCAAACCATATTAGCTGCCAAGAGCCTGTATGTATGTTTTTGTGTCAACATATGTTTTTATTTCTCTGATTTCAACACCTAAAGTGAAATTGTGGGGCCATCCTTCTTTGGTTTTTGAAAAACAGAAACAGAGGACAATTGAGTTATACTATTCCAAGCTACAAAACAATCTTTCTCTTTCTAAGAAATATCTAAAACTGCTTCTTCTATAAACATGATAGGACCACTTGTATACACTATATTCAGATAAACAGGTAAAATTCTGGAATCAGATAGATCCGAGGTTGAGGCTCAAGTGTTACTGATTGAGTCTGTGATATTTGACAGGTTACCTGATATATCTGAGGCTTAATTTTTCTCATCTGCAATGTGGAGAGAATAGAAATGTCACAACAAATAGTTGTGAGTGTCTAGTGAGATTTGAAAAATAAATGAGAAGCCTTAATTTCAATTCTTGAAAAATAGCGAGTACTACACAGATGACTATGTGCACTTCAGCAAGTCACAGAATGGTTTACAAAAGAGGTTGTTTATAAAGCAGAGTTGCAAAAGACAGAGGCTGGCCTCAGCACAAAAGAATGCCATAAAGTATTACAAAGAAATTGCTTGTTAAAAGCACAGGAGAGCATTATGACATTTATACAATGAACCATAAATGTCTACATAGGAAGTTAAGGCTTTTCCGCCAGTACACATCAACCCAACTGGAAAATATTCATATTTTTCAGTGTAAATAAAAGATCTCACATTACAAAGCACTTTCTCAATGACTGTATCTTGAACAAAGTACTGCACATTAGCCTGAGAGGACCTCAATCAATACTAGTTTGGATTGCTTAAAGAGGTCAGTGGCAGAATCAGTGAAAAAACAAACAAAAAAAATACAAGGAAATGTAACACAATTTAATAATTATTACTGGGGCTCTGACCTCAAAACTGCAAGTTTAGATGATGTTGTAAACAAGCCTTTTAAAGATGACTTTTAAAATAAAATACTTACATTGTGGAGGTCACAAAGTTGTGCTTACAAGATGAATGGAGAAGCATAGAAAACAGTAGAGCTTATTGTAAGAGTGGTTAATTTGGAGAGTGGCATCATTGTATAGGATTCAAAGCCTCTCTCACTTAGGTACCTTCGATGGAAGTGAAAATGGTGTGTTTTGGAGAACAGTGTTAAATGACCCAAAGACATTTATCCCAAGGATGAAAAAAGTTTGATGTTTCATTTGAATGATAAAAGAGTCTACAACTAAATTTATAAATTTAATAAATTAGGCTGATGATAGAGTTTAAAAAAAAATTCCATATTGAGAAAACAGAAGATCGACTTATATTTAGGCACTTACTGTACTTGCTACTCTAGGGAAAGGTAAATATTTACATCTTGGTAGATACAAACCTGTGAATTAGAGACCACTGAGATTTGTTTCAAAGGGATAGGAGCTGTCTGTCCGCAGGCTGTGACTTTGATCATATGAAACCCATTGCCAATTGAAGTGAGTAATGCCAGACAGTGTGTTTTCTAGTTTAAAGAAAGTATCCATTTTGTTAGCAGCAGGAAGTAGTGGGAAATTACCCATGAACAATGCTGTATTTTAAAGCCTGGGGCAGAAGTAGTGGATAAAGTGGGGATTAAATTGACAGCAGCATCACTATTTCAAGGCTTCAGAAATTACTTCAATCCTTCGATAATACTGTACATTCAAAGTGTAAACCACTGGAAATATCAAAGGCATTTCCCACATTGCTGGTGTGTGTGAGTGTGTGTGTGTGTGTGTGTGTGTGTATTTCTGTCTATATGTAGACACAATTGTGTCTGTATATTATATATCTATATATATTTATATACATGCTTTCACATGTGTTTATATGCATTTACTTTTTATAGTCTTCAAGATTACAAAGAAGAAAATAGCACAATATTGGTATAACTTAAAGTATTTTGCATCATCACTTAGAATCATAATTTAAAATGGTTTGGCCAGATATAAATGTTTTTAAAGTATTAAAATATCCAAAACTGATAAGTAAAGGGTGTAGTGTTTTTTTGTGGAGTCAGTAAAATTATTATCAAATATGAATATGAGTGTAAAATCTTTTATGGTATAATCTAAATTTGGGAGCCTGAGTTTTATATTAAGTTTGAAAATATGTACCAGATACTGTATTAGATGATTGGAACATGTTATCTCAGTCCTTAGAAGATGCTCAGACCAAACACTCTTAGATATTATTCTCCTTGAATTACAAATAAGGAACCTCAGTATCAGAAAGGTAACGTGTTCAAGGAATTAAAAGTCACAGCTGGAATTAAAAGTCATATATCTGTGCCTGGAAAACCCTGCATTCTTTTTAACAAATTTAAATTTTGAAGAAGGAAAGAAAATGGGAGAGAGAGCGAGGGAGGCAGGCAAAGACAGAAAGAAATAGGGAGAGGCCTAATTTGTTTCATTTCGTCTTTCTATTATATCCCAGAGGGTGAGGGAGTGCTGAACATGCAGTAGGTGTTTAATAAATAGTCTCAACAAATACTTATTTAGTGAATAAATGCCTCCAAAAATGTGTATTTCTCTCCTGTCCACTCCACTTCGCTTCAAGGACGTTTCTATTTTACAAACTAGGATACACACATGTACACATCTTTGACTTTAAAAAAAAATTCATCGGTTTAGCTTCGTCTTTAACAATTGCAATCAATGAAATGTGCCCTAACTGTAGAAAGAGTTTTACAGGGTAGAAATAGGATACACATTTTCAAATAAGATACATCTACTGAGCAGTCATATAACAATGCAATATAAATTAGTTTTCATTTCAAATAAATGCAGGCCAATAATGTCTACCATTTCTGCTGGATAAACATGAAATCATCTAATATAAAAGCAGAAAAAAACCCTTAGAGATCTGTTGTCAATAGCCTTCTATTGCACTGCATTTAGTCTCCTCAGATCTACCCTGGCTCCCTCCAATTCTCTCCTGAAGTTGCAGCCAAAGTGATTTTTTAAAATGCAATTTAGTTCATTTCATTTTTCCGCTTGGGACTTCCAGTGGCACCCAACTGTTTTCATAGTAAGATCCTGTCCTTAGCCTATGTGAATCTAAATGGAAAGAGAGGTATGAATCAGATCATGTTATTTTCTGTTAGCTACACTACTCAGCGTCTACTCCCCAGAGTCTGAGCTTCAATGCACCCTTGGGTCCTTGCTCTTGCTGACCCTTTTCCCTCCTTTGGCATGTTGCATAATTCCACCTTGACTTGTCCTTCAGATGTCAACCATAGGATCCTTCTCTCAAACAAGATTTCTCTCTCCCACTAAAGAAAATCAGGTTCCTTTGGTTTACAGGCTCATGGATGCCTGTTCCTTTATTTCAGGCTGTTTTTCTCAGTTGTATTTATAAACCCACTTGCATGGGTATGGCGCTGACACTGGTCTCCCCTGCTAGACTGCCGGTTTCATTGCTCACCCTGTATTCCCAGCACAGTGCTCATTATACAGAAGATGTTCAACAAATACTTGTTGAGTAAATCACTTAGCCCTGACTCTCAATCTTGCTTCCATGGCAGTGTGAATTAATGTCATGGTGTGCTGCGTGCAACACGATACAGGAGCCCCTAGGGGGTTTGGAACACAAATGGTGTTTGTAGGCTACATTGGACCGAAACAACGACAACTTCATGGACAGCCAGCACCGAGAGGAAGTGTCCTGTGGCTGGGGTGGATCAGATGTGGTTTTAGAGCTGCAAAATGCTATATTTTAAGTTTAAATTCTATGAGAAAGGAAGCCAGAACTGAAGCTAGAAAAGTGGCATCAAAAGTCAGGTTTTAGAGCCAACAACACCATAATAAAAATAAATAATAAATTGATTGCAGTAAAATAATAAATAATAAAATAAGCTATCACCATTATCAGTAGTAATAGCAGTGGCAGCCGCAGTAGCATCCAGCTCAGAGGGCAACAGTCTGAGAAGTCTGGAAATAGGTAAGGAATTGGAGAGCTAGGTGAGCTGGAACATGGGATTAGTTATTATTATAATAATGTGAGTAATCTGTAGACTGCGCTGGCCCATTATTTTTGCAGTGGTAGCTGTGTGACAAAAAGGCAAAATTGCATAATTATTAGCATAATTCATTGCACTTCTCAAGATCTGATTCCAAATCTTTCTCTACCCTTTATCTGTGACCTTTGACGAGTTCCTTAATATCTCTAAGCCTCAGTTTCATCATCTGGAAATACGATGGGGATAGTAATACGTCTAATTTTTAGAGTCTTTAGGAGAATTCAATGAAGAATACATGGAACATGTTCAAATTGTTGCTGAACCGTAATAAGGGCTTGAGATAAAAAAAATAGTAACTGTTATTACTAGGAAGCAAGGTTGGGAAAACGCCACCTCAAAATTGATTTTAAAAGAGGAAGACGTAACAGGTGCCAAAACAATTAGAAATCAATAAGGAGACTAACATGTAAAATTGAGTAAATTCTCTTCATTTGTTCCTCTCTGTCCTTTGGGGGAATGATTACCATTCTTGTTTATATTGAACACTGTGTCCTACAGAAACACAAATTAAGAATGGCTTGCCTATCCCTGTATGTTTCAAAGTTTGGTCCAGGGATTTTCAGTCCCTTAAAGTGATCTTGCAAACAAAGTCTATGGTCAAAAAGGGTTTGAGGGAAATCTTCAAGCATCTTAGAAATCCTACAACAACAACAAAAAAATCTGTCGTACTCAAATTACTCAAACAAAAGACCTTTTTCTATGTTATCCTAAGTAGCATGCCAATGAGTGCACTTTGTGAATTGCTTATCTTTTTCATTTTACAGATGAGGAAACTGGGCCAAAGAGAGGCCAGTTACATATTTTCTTTAAGAGTTATGTTTGAATTAGAAAGAAAAACATAGTTGCAAATTTCCAAACACAAGGGAGAATGAGGAAATGCATATCATGCAAAAAACCTTAGTGATTCATTGAGGATTTATCACACTTGCTTAATAAAAATCCGCTCTTTTATTTTCTAATTTTTAAGGTTAGGCTTGCATATGACATTGAAATTGGAATCAATGTAGACCTATTTCTAATCCAATCTCTCTTTAAAATCTCAAAACATAATATTTTCAAAATTTAGATGTGCTGGAATACTGGTAAGAGATTAATGTAAAAAAAGTTATTTTCCTAGCTTCTTTTTGTAAAAAATAGATGGATTGTATTGATAGGGATTTGGATGTCAGAAAGTGTGGCAGATTATATTCTCCAAAAGTGGCCACAGTAATATTTTCTGTCTCTTATGCTCTTCCAGAGCCTTGCCACCCTGCTTCAAGAGGTGGAGCTATTTCTTTTTTCCTGGAATCTGAGTGAGAAGTGACTGCTCTGACCAACGGAGTAAGTTATGTGACTCTGAAGTAAAGTTATAATACAGCTTCAGCTTGTCTCTCTGTCTCTCAGGATGCTAGCCTATGCAATGCAACCACCATATTGTAAGGAAGCTCAGGTCACATGAAGAGTCTACGTGTAGGTGGTCAGACTGGTAATCTCTTCTAGATTCTCAAGCTACAGCCAGCATTAAGTGCTAGATGAGTGGTTTATGGAACCTCTAGATGAGTCCAGCCCCTGGCTTCCAAGGTTCTAGATACTGTTGAGCAGAAACAACCCATTCCAGCAGTGACCCATCCAAGTCTGTGAATCACATACCAAAGATTATAAAAAATTGTTGTTCTGTGCTGCTAAGCTTCCCGAGGTAGTTGAAGTAACTGGAACAGGGGGCCATTTGAACATGAAAAAGAGAGAAGAAACCCAATTTTAATTCAACCCTACTATGTTTCTTTGGAGATACTCATGTGCTTTATTAATTCATTCAAACTATATGCATCCTACTTCCTTCATATCAGGCATGTTCCTAAGTGTATTTTATGTAACTATCACAGCTCTGTGGATATCATGCATTATCTCTATTTTTTTTTTTCAGGTAAGAAATTCCATACATGTGCCTTCCATTTGCCAGTATTTGTACAAATTCAGTGCCCAGAGTATATAGGGGAAGAGCTCGTATTTCTTAATTATAATGATGGTAGATTTCTTTAGAATTTTCTTCTGTTGGCAATAACTGTCATGTACCTGGTGTGCCCTGTAATATACACACCACGTTAATCACTAGCTTTCAAGGAAAGACATGAGTGTTCTGTTCCTTTCACATCTGTGCACATGCCCCTGACCTGACCTGATAGTTGATGGTTATAGGGTCCATCCAAGGTTGATACTTTCATGTTACCAGACTGGCACCTGCATTAAACGTCTGATAGTAAGTGGGAGGAGTGATCCAAGTTGCAGCCACATTTCACTCCTAAATGAATCCATCTAAGAACACCTTGGACTTGGCTTAACTTAATCTCGTAATCTATCCTCATCATTCACTCTGCACTAGGTACCATATGTTATCATAACTTTCTCTTTTTCTGATTTGGCAGTTGAACAATAGGTCTTATCCTCTCTCTAATGTCTTTACTTTTCTTAATTTGATTCATTCTATTCAATCAATAATCATTTATAAAATGTATCCCATGTCTGGTGTAAACATGGACTGCCCTTAACCTGTGGGCATCATTTTATGATGCATACTCTCACCGGACTCAGGCTAATTTCAACGTGGTGCCAAAATAGACTGTATTTCCCCTCTGAGTCAATCTAGCACCCTTAGAACTAAATGTGAAATGTCCTGTGACATTTTGGAACACAAAATAGGCTCCTTGGCACTTAGATCATTGATAATGTCTGAGTTTCTGGTTTCAAATCTCAGAGTTACTTTTTAACTGCTGTGATGCCTGGAGCAGGATAAGTCATTCACTCTTAGGCTCTCCATCTATAAACCAGGTATAAGTTTTCTTATACAAATGATAGAATCTGTGTAATGGGCATAATTTAGTCCCCAGCACACAATAAAAAACCCATATAGTATTTGTTCACAGTATCTCCGGATGACAGTATCTCCTCTGTATGCACAACTTCATACTGGCTACTCACAATTCCTAGGGTGAGTCTAGAGTCAGACATTACTTTCTCTCACTTTGCACCCTCGTCTGGCTCCATTCTACATTTAGCTTCAATTCTCCATGTTACCTTGGCTATATACATCCTTTTTGGCATCAGCTTCAATTTTCCACTCACCAGCTTTACATGCCATGCCATAGGAGGGAAATATTCTGGGTCACTGATCTGTAAATGAGGGTAGTACATCAGCTGGCAACTGCTCAGATTTGGGCATATCTGAGCTGGTGCAAAATGAGATTGGATGCTATGCAGACTGGAGAAGAAGGCTAAAAATTTCTTGACATGAGATGCGTGCAGCATCAGCTAGTGCAGTGTCTAAAATCACAGACTCAGGAGAAAGAACTGCTTCTGTTCAAACACAAGTTCTGCAGGTTGCTGGTTCTATGACCTTTGGTAAGCTACTCAACCTTTCTAAGCCTTGGTCCCTCCCTGTATAAAATGAGCATGAGAATAACACCATCCACATGATAATATTGTGAAGGTTGAGTTAACACCTGCAAAGTGCTTAGCACAGTGCCTGGCACTCCCCGAGTGCTTTTATTCTTTGTGTGTATTTGAAGCCCCACCATACAACCTCAGGTCCTTAACCAGTCCCAAAGAAGCGTATTTGGTGCCAACAGCAGACATCTACTCAGCTGTGAATTCAGCTGTGGCCATCTGGCAGGCAGTATCTGGGAGGACTGAAGAGTGAGGTGGCTTCTTTGTGGGGATCAGCAGCATCTGCTTCTGGGAGAGAAGCTCTCCATGCCCCCTGGCATGTGCTTTACTCATAAATTCCCAGAAATGGTGACACAGCTGAGACCCACTGTTTGTGGAAGGAGACACACTCCCTCTTTCTCTGCTTTATCTATTTGGAGCTGGGGCTACAGTATCACTTGGATTGACATTCAGCTGCTGGTTTATAATGGCTTTCCCAGCAGAGTCCCTGCAGGCTTCACTGCCATAGTTCCTAGAGGAGTAGGAAGCCTATTGCTAACAAATACCCACAGAGAAATAAAAACTTATTTAAATGGATTTAGGCAATGTGTTTTAGCTCTTTTAGAACATTCAGTGACTCCTACAGTAGGCAGAATGGCTGCCCAAAGGTGTCCCAGTCCTTCATTCTTGAAACCTGTGACTGTGTTACGTTAAACAGAACAAAGGACATTGCTGATTTAGTTAAGGTTACAAACTTTAAAGCAGTGAAAATAACCTGGATTATCCAGGTGGCCCCAAACTAATTATGCAGGTCTTTAAAAGCAGAGAACTTTCTCTAGCTGGAGTTAGTGTTGTGGCAGAAGCCAGAGAGATTCAAAGCACGAGAGCGACTCCACCTTCTGTTGCTTGGAGAGCACGACCAAGTTTGTGGGCAGCACCTAAGAGCAAAGTCAGGCCCCTCGTTGATGTCACCAAGGAAACAGAACTAAGTTTTATAGGCTCAAAGAGCCAAATTCAGTCAACAACCTCTGGAGCTTGGAAATGAATTCTCCAGAGCCTCTAGATAAGAGCATGGCCTGATTTTGGTCATGCAAGACCCTGTACAGAGGACTCAAATGGGTCCACCTGGACTTCTGACCTACAGATCTATGGGATTACACATTTGCGTTATTTTAAGCCACTAACTTTATGGTCATGTATTATGGCAGCAATGGAAAATGAATACAACTTCCAAAATAAATTTCAAATTCCTTATGATGGTGTTCAGAAGGCCTGTCCTGGTCTAATCCTGATTTTTCTCTAGTGCTTTATTCCACACGACTCCCTGTAATGTCAAGTTTCTGCCAACATCAGCATCCCTAAATGCCATTCTGTAGCCCAGGTTTTTAAAATGGAATTATCGGAATTCGGGGCAGGACAATTCTTCATTGGATGGGACAGTGCTCCACGCTTGGCAAGACTTTTGGTATCTATGACTCCTTGGGCTCTAAATGCCAGTGACACTGTCTGGTCATTGTAAGGACAATAAATACAGTTCACTGGGGTTTGTGAAGTTAGAGCACCACTGTAAGTGAACTGCAAATTGTCAGCCAGTATGTTCTGAATGACTACTAATCCCCAACAAGTCTTTTAATACTGAATAACCTGAATGAACAAGATAGAATTCCCTGACTTTAAGGGAGTCACATTGTAATAGAGTAGACTAAAAAACATGTAAAGAAACAGATGAATAGCTTTAAAATGCTACGAAGATAAAGCAGAACAATATGGTGGAGAGTGGAGAGAGTGTGCTGTATAATTTTTCTGCAGTGATCAGAGAAGGTCTCTCTATGGAGGTTGCTTTGAGGTGAGACCTCATTTGAGAGGAAATGGACACCTCAAGGTTAAGAGAAAGAAATGCCAAACAGAAGAATGAGTGGGTTCAAAGCTCTTGAGATAGGAAGAGCTTGGCATTTTCAAAGTCCAGAAAGGTCAGTGAATCAGGAACAGAGGGAACAATGGGGAGAAAGAAGCATCAAGCCGCAGGCATGGGCCAGATCACACACCGTTTTGTAGGCTATGGGTGGGAATTTGTGTTGTATTCAGCTTTCAGTGGAAGTCCACCAGTTTATTTATTTTTTTATTTTTTAAATAAACAACTTCAAATATGAGTTGATAAACTAGCATAATAAGTTGCCTTGTGTTAATGTCATTAATCACCTGAGCTTTTGGCAAACAGATTTGTATATTCATATCCGCATCCACTTTTTCCACCTCTTCTGAAGAAAATACCAGATATTATAAAATGTCATCTCTAAATATTCCTACTTTCAGTATTCTAAATACAACAACTCTTTTTAAAGCATAACTTTAATGCCACTGTTACACCTAAAATGAACAAAATTTACATAATACCTTCAATTATATTGGAGGGTTTTAAGGAAGAGGGTAGCGTTGTCTCGGTTACCTGTTAGAAACCTTACCCCACAACCCTACGGAGGGCAAAGTGTGAGGCAAGGTGGTGAAGGCAGAAGAGGGAGACTGTCAGGAGGCTGCACACTCTTGGAAGCCAGAAATGATTGTAGGTTCATCAGTGGATTTCTGGTGGGTGGCAATGGTTTAAATATAGGCTCGAAAGAAAAAAAGATAAATTGAGAATGACTCCTAAAGTTTTGGTCTGAACAACAAGGCTGATGGTTGTGACATCCATAGACCAGGAAATCTGGTTTGGGGTGAGGATAACAATAATATTATAAACTCCAGCAACACAGGCTTCTCTATATGTGTCAAGCATATTCATGTCTTTAATCATCATTTCCAATGTCTCCACAGCGTCACTCACAGAAATTCTCCTTGGTGATCAAACCAAGCTCATGTGCTTTCTCTTCCTCGAGGCTTTCTAGATACCCTATTTAATAGTTTATGTTGTTTCTGTCAATATCTAATTAAATCAAGCATTTTAATAAATGGATTTGGTTAAAGATCTTAAGTGATGGTGAAAGACTTCTTACAGAAAACAATGGCATACACACACTGGATCTGCTATGCTTTCGCTCCCTGGCCTTGGGCAAGTTACTTCCACTCTCTGAGCATTACTTTTCTCATTTACAAAGGAAGCTCATTTCTCATTACCTTACTTGTAGTTGGATGATCATTTCTCCTTGCCTTACTTGTAGTTGGATGATATGAGGATTAATTAATAAAAGGCTTTCTCCTACCTATTTGGCACTAGTCAAAGATGATGAGTCACAATCCTCATTGTTGCTGCTGCTTATTATTATCATTGTTGTTGCTGCTTATCATCCTCACTGAAGAAGAGAAAATGATGGTATCCAACTGGGATTATGCCATTTGTGCTGGGCTCACAAGTTGATATATCAGACTCAGGAATCAGAGGTGAGGATGATACTGAGGAAGACAAACCGCAAAGGTCCAGACATGGTGAATGGCTCTTCAAGGATACTGGGTGAAAAGCTTGAAGAAAATCCACTTCAGGTCTGAATTGGCAAAAACAGACATTATTTAAAGCTGTAGACTTTCATATTGGTCTAATTTGTGTAAACAACCTTTCTCTCCTGCCCCCAACACACACACACTTGCAGTTGGATGCATGTTTGACCCATCTATTCAGTCACTGAAGCTTTGTTTGTTCAAGAGAAACCTCAGGATTTTATTATGCAGAAATTTTATCATGGGCACCCATAAATCCCAATTAGGCAGCTTGTAGCAGAGCCACATGAGAAAGAACAATTTCTGTTTGTTCCTGGTGTCTCGTTAATGACATGGCTTCACAATGGGGTACAGATTGAAGCAATGTATCCAAGTAGGATGGTTAGCAGGCACAGGGTGGGAGGGTGGGAGCACAGGCTGCTCTTTTCTCTGCTACAAAATTATGTGAAGGCACCAACCTAAGGCTGGAAGTTAGGAGGCATAGATCTCAGCTCACTTCACCTCTCTCAGATTGATTTTGGGCCAAGACAGACCGATTTTTATTTCAGATTCCTCTGAAACTCTCCAAGCTCTCCAGGCTTTCTTTATGCAAAACACGAGGACCAGCAGTGCATTAAGAGCCTGAATATAATGTGCCTAGCACAGTGTTTCAAAAATGGTTTTGTAATGAAAAGTAAAAGTAAATTCTATTCTTTCTTCTACTTTCCTCCGTTTTCTTATCTATAAACAGAGGAGCCTGGTTTCAGCAGGATATTATTTTATAAGAAAATCATGTATGAATAAATGAAATCACACACACACACACACACATACACACACAGAGAGAAGGAGAGAGAGAGAGAGAGAACCTCTTTTTGAAACAAAGTTTGCTATTTGTTCATTTAAAAAGCCAGTCTAGAACATCAACTTTTTGAAGACACGTAATTAAAAATCTGTCAAATGAGTACTGATGAGTTAATTTAGAAGTTAAAAATCAAAGACAGAGCCTATGAAAAAAGACAATAAACTATTTCCTAAATTGAATATAAACTTGAAAATAACATTCCCCCAGAATACTGTAAACTCCTACTATGTGTCCAACAATTCACTCCTGTTATTTATAACATTCTCACCACTATCACACAGTCAATTTGCACAGGAGGAATTTAGGTCACCTAGGGTATAAGCAACTGGCCTATGATCACACAGATAGAGGCTGGGACAGGCTCATGACCCAGCTGTGTCAGATTCGAGACAGTGGATTGGATTTTAAAAATATGGTACATGTATGCCATGCAATACTACACATAAAAAAGAATGAAATCATGTCCTTTGCAGCAACATGGATGCAGCTGAAGGCCATTGTCCTAAGCGAATTAACACAGAAACAGAAAACCAAACACTGTATATTCTCACTGATAACTGGGAGTTAAATATTGGGTACTCATGGGCATAAAGATGGAAACAATAGACACTGCGGACTTTAAAAGGGGTGAGAGAGGGAGGGGCAGTAAGGGTTGAAAAGCTCCCTATTGGGTACTAGCCTCACTATCTAGGTGATCAGATCAGTCGAAGTCCAAACCTCAGCATCACCCAACATACCCTTGCAACAAACCTGCAGATGTACTCCATGAATCTAAAATAAAAGTTGAAAAAAATATGAAGAAATGGCCTCTCTTTTAATGATGTGCTATTTTGTATTAATCACCAGAGTTTTCTTCGTTTTTATCTTTATATATTTAATTATTACCTAATTAGCTATAACTAATTCTATAAATTCTGAGTCCCAACTATGACTTGGATGCTTGCATCCTCTTTAAGAACTCACAGTAGAATAGGGGAGAGTTAAGAACAAACTAACTAATATTAAAACATGATGCAGTAAACCGTGTGATGAACGAAGGGGAGGATGCTGGAGAAACTGCAAGGTGAGGGGACCTGATTGTTTCTGGAGGCAGACATCTGTTTTTATTAGATTCAGAGGGATGAGTTGCCAGCCAATGAGCTGGGGAAGAAATGGATTTCTCATTTCCAAACAGACGCAGAAACTTAACAGCCTCGGGACAGAAAAGTTTGGTGGACAATCTATATAAACACCTGTTTTAGTTGAGTTTTTTGGTGTTAATAGTATTATTTTCCTGAGTAATCTATTTGTATGTTTCATAGTGGAAACCTTAGAGTAGAAAAAGGAAAATAAAAATTTATAAATTTCCACTTTCTGTGTAGTCACCATTAACATTTTGGTAATTTCCTATCTGTGGTTTTCTTTGTCTATATGTGTGTTTATGTATTTATATGTACTACATGTTATCTGCTATATGCAAACATAAACTCATTTACTATCTAACTTCATCACTAACTTTTTCCACAGGTTCTTAATCAATGTTATTTAAATATTGTTTAAATGTCATTACTTAAAATTTATGCTCTTGTAATGGTAGTGTTCAATTCAACAAGAAGACCTAACTATCTTAAATATATATGCAGCCAACACAGGAGCACCTGAATTCACAAAGCAAGTTCTAAGAGACCTTCAAAGATACTTAGACTCCCACACAATAATAATGGGGACTTCAACACTCCACTGACAATATTAAACAAATCATCAGGCAGAAAATTACAAAGACATTCAGGACCGGAACTCAGCACTGGTTCAAATGGAGCTGACAGACATCTACAGAACTCTCCACCCAAAAGCAACAGGATATATATTCTTCTCATCACCACATGGCACATACTTTAAAGTTGACCACATAATTGGACATGCCTCAGCAAATGCAAATACTCATCAGCAAATGCAAAATAACTGAAATCATGACAACCACTCTCTTGGACCACAGCACCATCAAATTAGAAATCAAGAGTAAGAAATTCACTCAAAACCATAACATTTATATGGACATTGAATAACTCCAGGAATGACTTTTGGTAAATAGTGAAATTAAGGCAGAAATCAAGTTCTTTGAAACTAATGAGAACAAAGATACAACATACCAGAATCTCTGGGACACAGCTAAGGCAATGCAGAGGGAAATTAATAGCGCAAAATGCCCACATCAAAAAGTTAGAAAGATTTCAATTTAATAACCTAACATCACAGCTAAAAGAACAAAAGAAGTAAGAGCAAACTAACCCCAAAGCTAGCATAAGATGAGAAATAAACACAGAGCTGACTTGAAGGAGATTGAGACACAAAAACAACCCAAAAGATGAATGAATTCATGAGTTGGATTTTTGAAAAAATAAAATGATCACTAGCTAAATTAATAAAGATGAAAAGAAGAAGATCCAAATAAACACAATTAGAAAGCATAAAAAGGATATTACCACTGACCCAAAGAATACAAATAATTTTCAGAAAATGTTATGAACATCTCTTTGCACATAAACTAGAAAATCTAAAATAAAAGGATAAATGCCTGGATACATACGCATTCCCAAGTCTGAGCTGGGAGGAAATTGAATCCCTGAACAGACCAACAATGAGCTCCAGAACTGAATCAGTAAAAAATAGCCTACCAATAAATAAAAGTCTAGGACCAGACTGATTCACAGCCAAATTCTACCAGATATACAAAGAAGAGCTGGTACCATTCCTACTGAAACTATTTCAAATAATTGAGGAGGAGGGACCCCTCCCTAACTCATTCTATGAGGCCAGCATCATCCTGATACCAAAACCTGGCAGAGACACAACAACAGCAACGAAACTTTAGGCTAATATCCTTGATGAATATTGACGCGAAAAACCTCAACAAAATACTGGAAAACTGAATCCAGCAACACATCAAAAAGCGTATCTATCATGATCAAGTAGGCTTTATCCCTGGGATGCAAGGTTGGTTCAATGTACACAAATCAATAAATGTGATTCATCACATAAATAGAACTAAAGATAAAACCCACATGATTATCTCAATAGATGCAGAAAAGGCTTTCAATAAAATTCAACTCCCTTTCACGTTAAAAACTCTCAATAAACTAGGTATTGAAGGAGCATACCTCAAAATAATAAGAGCCCTCTATAATAAACCCACAGCCAAAATCATACTAAATGGGCAAAAGTTGGAAGCATTTTCCTTGAAAATTGACATAAGTGAAGAATGCCCTCTCTCACCACTCCTATTCAGCATAGTATTGGAAGTCCTGGCCAGAGCAATTAGGCAGAGAAAGAAATAAAACATATCCAAATAGAAAGAGAGGAAGTCAAACTGTCCCTATTCGCAGACGACATGATCCTGCATCTACATTTGGGCCCAGAGTTGTGGCCCAAAGCTCCTTAAGCTAATAAACAACTCCAGCAAAATCTCAGGATACAAAATAAACATAAAAAATCACTAGCACTCCTGTACACTAACAACAGTCAAGGTGAAAGACAAATTAGGAATGCAATCAAATTCACAATTGCCACAAAAATATAAAATACCTAGGAATATGGCTCACATGAGAAGTGAAAGATCTCTACGAGGATTATTACAAAATGATGTACAAAGAAATAAAAAATGACACAAACAAATGGAAAAACAGTCCATGCTCATGGATAGAATCAATATTGTTAAAATAGCCATACTGTCCAAAGCAATTTATAGACTAAGTGCTATTCCTATCAAACTATCAATTACATTCTTCACAAAACTAGAAAAAAAACTATTTTAAAATTTATATGGAACCAAAGAAGAGCCCTAATAGCCAAGGCTATCCTAACTAAAAAGAACAATGCTGGAGGCATCACACTATACAACTTCAAACTATACTAAAAGACTATAGTAACCAGAATAGCATGGTACTGGTACAAAAACAAACACATAGACTAATGGAATAGAATAGAGAGCCCAGAAATAAGGTTGTATCACCTACAACTATCTGATCTTCTACAAAGCTGACAAAAACAAGCAATAGGGAAATTATCTCTATTCAATAAATGGTGCTGGGATAAATGGCTAGCCATTTTCAGAAGTTTGAAACTGGACCCCTTCCTTACACAATACATAAAAATTAACTGAAGATGGATTAAAGACTTAAATGTAAAAGCCAAAACTATAAAAATCCTGAAAGATAACCTATGCAATACCATTCTGGACATAGGAATGGATAAAGACTTCATGATGAAGACACCGAAAGCAATTGCAACAGAAGCAAAAAAATGGACAAATGCGGTCTAATTAAATTAAAGAGTTTTTGCACAGCAAAAGAAACTATCAACACAGTAAACAAACAACCTATAGAATGGGAGAAAATTTTTGCAAACTATGCTTCTGACAAAGTTCTAATATCCAGAATCTTTAAGAAATGTAAACAAATTTCCAAAAAAAAAGAATTAAAAAGTAGGCAATGGGGATGAGCAGACACTTTTCAAAAGAAGACATACATGTGGCCAACAATCACATGAAAAAAAACTCAACATCACTAATCATTAAAGAAATGCAAATCAGAATCACAAAGAGATAACATCTCACACCAGACAGAATGGCTACTATTAAAAAGTCAAAAAATAAGGTACTAGTGAGGTTGTGGAGAAAAAGGGACTCTTATACATTGCTGGTGGGAGTGTAAATTAGTTCAACCATTGTGGAAAACAATGTGATGTTTCCTCAGATACCTAAAAACAGAACTGCCATTTGGCTCAGCAATCTCATTACTGGTATATAGCCAAAGGAATATAAATAATTTTATCATAAAGACATATGCACATGTGTGTTCATCGTAGCACTACTAAAAATAACAAAGACATGGAATCAACCTAAGTGCTAATCAATGGCAGGGTGGGTTAAAAAATGTGTTCCATATATACCTTAGAGCATAAAAAAGAGTGAGATCATGTCTTTTGCAAGAACATGGATAGAGCTGAAGTCCATTATCCTTTGCAAACTAAAACAGGAAGAAAACCAAATATCACATGTTCTCACTTATAAGTGGGAGCTAAAATATGAGAAGACATGAACACACACAGGGCAACAACAGACACTGGGACATACCAGGGTGTGGAAAGTGAGAGGAGGGAGAGATCAGGAATTATAACTAATGGGTACTAGGCTTAATGCCTGGGTGATGAAATAATCTGTACAACAATCCCCCATGACATGAGTTTACCTGTATTACAAACGTGCATGTGTACCATTGAACTTAAAAGTTAAAAAAAGTATGCTCTTGAAAGTCCTCATTATAATGTGATAGCCATAGTTATCATTCCACATTGTGGGTTTAACAGTACTTACTTGATCAACTTCAAGATGAACTGTACCCCAAAAAGGTAACAGCTACCCTCCTACCTCACTCATTCATTACCACATCCCCAGTTCCTACTTTGGGTCTTACACATAGTAAGGACCTAGTAATGCTCAAATGACTAACTGGCTACAGTTGGATATTTACATGATCATTATCATTTTATTTTACTCATGCATACACACACACAACACAGTCCTACCATGAAAATTTCTCAACCCAGGTCTTAGTCTGACTCTTTGCTTTTTTTAGAAAATACTAATTTACTAGAAATAAATTTCTTTTGCATCCAAGGCCAAGGTAAACTTGCAATCCTTGGTTACGTGTTGCCAAACTTGCATTGCACTAAGGCTGTCAACATTTTTTCCTCCCACCACTAATCTATGACAAAGTCCTTTCCCTGTACTCCTGCCAACAGTGCATATTATTTATTTTTACATCCTTGTTAATTAGAAAGGTAGGAAATGGTATCTTATTTCATTAATGAGTATTAACGCTGAACATTTGCTTATGGGTCTATAGTCATTTGAAGCTCTTCAATGAATTAAGTTCTTTTTTTAACAAAACCTGCCTTTCAGTTCTGGATTATAAATATTAACACAAACAGAACTATGCCTGATATGCAGTTAGTTATGTGTTAGTTATTGGTTAGCAGATATATGTTAGCTATGGGGAAAAGCCAAATTTGTGAAACGTTGCGTTGACGTGTGCATTTTAAATAAAAATACAATGACATAATGCATGCAAGTACAATAATCCCTAAAATTTTCAATTTAAATTGTGAGAGAGAAATAATATACAGGGCAGAGAGGCATACATGACTGTAATTAAGAGAAGAGACTCTGGATCGAGACTTCCTAGGTTCAAATCTAGGCCCTTCTACTTACTATCTAGTTATGAGTAATTAACTTCAATACGTCTCAGTTTCTTGGTCAAAAATATGGAGGTTAATTATGTTACCTACTCTGTTAGTATAATGAAGATCGAAGGTTTTAATAACTGTAAATACTTAGAAATTGGCTGACACATAATAAGTATTCAATCAGTTTTAACTAATTAAAAAGTAAACAGATCAACTAATCTTACATAGCAATAATTATACAGAGGAGATGCACAGGGTCGTGCGATAAAGAGTAATTGACAGTGGGGCAGGGGTTGGGAGAAACGTTCAGGCAGAGGAAATAAAATGTGTAAAGGTCTTGCAATAGAAGAAAATAAAAGGAAATCAGTGTTGCTGAGGGAGAATGTTGCTGAGAAGGAAAGTGGAGCAACAAGTGATAGACAATGTCTCTGAAGGCCAGACTATTCAGGGCCTTATGGACCATGGAAAAAGAGAGTTTTATTCAATTTTACCTAGTAACAGGGTCACATTAACCCTTTCAACAAGAAAGTTAGAATTAAAGGGAAAATAAATGGGAGGTAATTTGGATGACATTTATTTTACATCTTTGAAGCAAAATAAAAGATTGCATTTCAACACAAAGATCTACGAATGTCTATCAAGTCTTAATGGTGCTACAATCTTGTTGGCAAACTCTCTTTGCAGAGAAAAACTTAAGCCATTTATAAGCAAAATACAAGCAGGAAGCCCCCAAAACCCCTTATCCTCTAGGAGAGTGCTCCCAGTACCCCCAATCCCCAGACAGGCTTGGATTCCTCCCTGTTCTCTATGACACTAAGGGATTGCAAATATTTTACATCCTGTCCATACGTTGGCCCATCTTATTATACTCTTTCCCCGTAGTTTGGCATTTGGGATAACAGCTATTTTATGTGGGTTGTTTTATATCTCTAGGACCCAAAGGAAACAGCAAGAATGTTTGGCCACCATCAAAGTTAATAATAATACTAATAAAAAGAAGATGGTAAAAAAAAAATATTGTTTAGTAACAGATGTCTGTATGAGGAGGATCAACTCTAACCAACTTCCTTACCTAAACTCATCACTCATTAAGCCTGGAGGGGGAGCTTCTCATTTGTTGTCTAATTTTTGTGTTGATCATCAAGTGGATAATATAATACTTTCATTTTTATCCCAGGATTTGGGGGAGGTATTAATTAGCATATTTCTTCTTCAATCTTAGAACATCTGTATAACAAAATGTTAATTGACATTGGAACGCGTTTTTATTCAAACATACAATACATTCACTCAGGTTATCATGTAATATTACAAATGCTTATGCCATGTTAAAAACCCCAAGTGACCTCAGAGACATGTATAATATATAGTTCCTTGACCAGAACACTGATATCATGAACTAATATTTAAATGATGGCAATTGGTAGGCCTTTGTGAAATGTTAGATTCTAAAATTTAAGAAGTCACTTCACTTACCCAAATGTGGAGAGCAGCAAAAACAGTGCAGGCTTTCACTCACATCTGCATGGATCTCAATGTTAGCTTTGCCATTTGCTAGCTGCAAAGAACTTGACTAAGTCTCATTCCCTCTGATTCCCATTCTTCTTCACTGATCTCCTTATATGACATAAAATGAAGATATTGTCAATGTCATTTTTAGTATTGCTCTAAGAATTATATAATATTTAGTTAATATTTATTAAATGGGAATTGCTTATGCAAATCTCAAACTTCACAATAATCCTACAGTGTTGTTTTTTTAGATCCATTTTTAAGGAAGGAAATAATAGTAGATGACTAGCCCCCAAAAATTGGGATGGAACTCAAGTAGGACTAACTCCAAATTCCCAGAAATTTCCAATCCAAAGCATTAACTTGCTCATGTAGCAATTCTGTACTCCCCTGGAAATCAGTCTCAAGAAAACCAGGATAATTGCTAATAAACAATTTAGAGATGTTCACTCCCAAACACATTTCCCTTGAGTAAATAGCACTCAAAGGTCCATGATTTTTGCTATCATAAAATGTGGAGAATAAACTCAACTTTTACTTCCTTGACCAGGACTGTCCCCGTCTAAGGAACTGCTAGGCTATCACCTCTGTGTCTGATGTCACATTCATAACCAATCCCTGTTTTTCATTCCTGCTACACCTGTAAAATATATGCTCATATAGTGCCTTGTATGGATGAATAACTTCCCCTACTCTCAGATTTCCCCCTTAAGCCCAATATTGCCTGGTAGATTTCCTGTTGTACAGCTGAACTTACTCTATATCAATACCACAGAAGCCTGGCATTTGGTACACTGGTCCCTCCCTTTGGGGATCTTTCTCCTTCTCACACTGTCCCTCTGCAGTAGCAAATGTTTCAGCCTCCTGCTTCTCCCCTACATTGCCATATTTGTTCAATCTATGTAGATTCATCACATGGAAAAATTTATATCTTCCCATCGCATCCAAATCCTATCTAAGCTGAAAGGTTTGGCTTGAACTTTATATATTCTGCCTTCCACAATTTCCACCAGATAAAAGAACGAATTTTACTTAGTATTTTTTCTCATGAAATTTAAAGTTATTAATGATGTGCATTTTTTTCTGACGTTAGACTGCAAATTTTCCCATAAAGAATGCTTGCATTTTCTTCAGAGATCTCTCCTGGTGCTCAACACCTGAAGCTGTATGTAGTACACACATGCAGAGTAACTGCTACATGACTGAGCCTATATTGTAAGTTTTTCAAGGTTAAGGTATCCTGCCCTAGAGTTCCTAACACAGAACGCAGCCTGAACTTCTAACATCTAGGATCCATTGAGCCTTCTGGTAACTGCTTCCTCATATTTATTTCTATGGGGTGAGGATGGGAGTACACTTTAGTTCAATCTAATGTCCTTATGTGGGGCTCCATCAATCATCATATCACGTTGCATAGCCACAGTGATTATGTGATTGGTTTAGGGATGGGCAGGTCACTCATTCAAAGTTGATGATACTGAGTGAGAATGGAAGATAATCAAAACTAGGGGCTGCTTTGGTAATCTTGTTGTAACCACTAAGGGAGATCATCTCCGAGAGTGGATTCAATATCCAGGAAGCAGAGCTGAAACATGGCAGCAGAGAATCCCCATCCTGATTCTATCATTTGTGCCCAGCCATGCCCAGACCTGAGGCTAGCTAGCTCTCCTCCTCATGCTTAATTTACTTGAAAGGATAGGGTTCTTCTCTCTGCTTAAACTAGTTTGAGTCTAGTTTTCTGTCACTTGCCACCAACTGAGTCTTATGTATTAAGTAGGTATTGGTTAATTTTTTGAAGAGATTCTTAAGGCAGTAAACAAAGCTGCCATTGAAAGCCCCTGGAAGAGCCCTTAACAAGGAGCCTTTGAAATTGGAGAGAGGATGTGAATATTAATGGCATTTCTGCAGTGAGGGCAGTGAATCTTGGTTCTGACCTTCAGTAAGAGCTAAACAAATAAGACTCTATCAACTCCTCACAGGTTCCTGTCAAACAGCATTAAAAACACAACACTGCACAGCAATTCATGCAAAGATCTTTTACCATGTAGAAATGCTTATCAATAATATACTTAGGACATCATGGGGTAAAGATCGGGATGAGGAGTGCCAGGTTAGCAGGTCAGGTTATTTAAATGGCATAGAGAGATGGTGAATCAGGACCTAAGCGGACCGTACAATAAGATGATGTTTACTTTCTCCCTGGTCCTCTGTCTTTAGCCTATTGGACTTTGTGGTTAAAATACTTTAGAGTCCTCATTGTACCACTGTATCTTAGCCTTAGTCTTCCCATCTGTACAATGGGAACTGTAAGTAAATACATGTAAACTTTTAACAGATTGGTACTCTGGGTTCCCTAGTTCAACGATTTTGAAACTTTTTTGACTCCAACCCACAGAAAGAAATACACAGAACTTCTTAACCCAGGATGCACCCACACATACACATCTGAAACAGAACTTTCAGACAAAAATTCTTATTCTTACAATGCAAAATGTTTCTGATATTTTCATTCAATTATTATTATAACATTATTTTTCTTTTAAGATGGCTACGGTTCACTGAACTAATTTCATGGCCACCGTGGGTCTTGACCTCAAGATTGAAAAATGTTACTTTAGGTCAACCTATAGTGCAAAATGAACTTTAGGTCAATATACATTAAATCTAAGCAGAGCTTTAGTTCTAAATCCCTGGGGAGTCACCTGGCCTCATGAACAAGGCTATGCTACTACTGATTTTTAAGTGCACCTTTGGTCCCAGGCTTAGACTAGGACTTGAGGAAGCAGCCTGTCCCATACCCCTTTCCCCCGGACACACCTCTTATTCTCATTCTGCTTCTCAAGTGGTTTCCTCCACCTGTTTTGTTCAGTGAGGATACACCCAAAATGAAAAAAAATGCAGAGGAATGAGAGGTTAAGGTTCTCACACTTTTGTTTGTAAAATAATTTGCCAGGGAGTTTTAAAATAGTTTAAGATGCTCAAAGATTATATTTCAGTGGGTTTGGCATGGGCTCCTGGAGTCTGGATGTTTAATAAGCACCCAGGGATTTTGGATGAAAGTGAAGGGACATATTATCCTTGGATAAACACTCATATTAACAGAGAACATAAGGCTTTTCTAAACTCCATTAGAAGCTGGAGATATGGAATCATGCTATTAGCGGTTAGCAGCAACAACGTGAAGGTTTTCTTCAAACTGAGAGCTGAGGATAGGGATGGAGAAGAAGCAAGTTGCCTCTATACTTCACCATAATCGGAAAGTCCAGTGGGAGAGACCACACACAGAGTAGTTCCCTGTCTACACTCCCCCTCCAACTCCCTTCCACTTCAGCCAGGCTGGCTTAAGTTCTTGAGCCAAACAGGTGGCTGTCTTTATTAAATGATAAGGGGATTTAGGATGTGAGGAGGTGGATGGATGGGGTAAGTAAAAGCAATACAGCATCTTCAGTCTTGTTATTTTTAAATGTGGTGTTCCATATGTCAGATCCTAGTGAGCACCGGCTTCCTTGTACCCAGGGGAGCCATGTTCCCGTGTTTGCACAGGGGAAGAAGATTCATGTCCTTTCATTATTTCTGTAACCTCCTGCAACTCTATTCAAGGAGAGCCTGTTGGGCATTTGTTAGAGTCATGTTTAGAGAACAAACTTGAGTAGTCAGAGTAGTAAGTCAGTCAGCAGAGAACAGAGAAGAGAGGCCATGGCTTTCCACCTTACTTTCTTCGACAGGAATGGTTACTTAAACATAGTTCTCTGGACATGTATTTTAGACTTCATGGCTCTTGAGGTTCCTTCCAACTCTAGAATGTCTAGAAGTCTATGAGTCATTGGCATACAAATGTTATTTTGTTCAAAGTCTCAAGCAAAAGATTGAAGAACAGAATTGTTGGAAACAAAATATGGCCAATGAGTCTCAGTGGTTCAGGTTTCTGTGAGCTGGCTTTGGAAATAGCAACAGTTTGCAGACGAGAAAGTTGTGGGAGACTGGCAGGAAAAGGCAACATGGGGCCAGAGGTAACTGAGATAAAACCTCAAATTTCTAAGCTTTTAGCTGCATGGTCTCAGGTGGGACACTAAACTTCTCCAGGTCAGTTTTATTATTGGTAAAATGGGAATAAAACAGTTTTTTGTTTTGTTTTGTTTTTTGTTTTTTTTGAGACAGAGTCTAGCTCTGTCGCCCAGGCTGGAGTGCAGTGGCGCAATCTCGGCTCACTGCAAGCTCCGCCTCCCGGGTTCACGCCATTCTCCTGCCTCAGCCTCCCGAGTAGCTGGGACTACAGGCGCCTGCCACTACGCCCGGCTAATTTTTTTTTTGTATTTTTAGTAGAGACGGGGTTTCACCGTGTTAGCCAGGATGGTCTCGGTCTCCTGACCTCGTGATCCGCCCACCTTGGCCTCCCAAAGTGCTGGGATTACAGGCGTGAGCCACCGTGCCCGGCCGGGAATAAAACAATTTTAAGTGAAAAGTACATTTTTTTCAGCCAAGCACACACTTATTTATTTATTCTTTGAGAAAGAAATAATTGTTTTCTATTACGTATTGGTTATTGAAGCAAGCATTGTTTGGTCTACTGAGGGATAGCATGTGAGAATCTCAGGTTTAGTGAAATGTATTATAAATTACTGGTTGAATGCTATATGCAGTTTTCCTTCCTCAATAGCTTTCCTTGTATATTCCATCATGAATCCCCCTTATACTGGATCTCTTCCTGAGACACCTATTATTTTAACATTTCTAGTCTTATACCCTTCTTCTCTTCTTACTACTTCTTCTTCCAAGAACACCACTTTATTTGAGAAACTATTCTGCCATCATTCCGGGTGGTTCTGGTGAGACTGTTGATCACAGCAACCACCTCCTCATCGTAAAGCTGGGCATGCAAACCAAGCTGTCCAGTGAGTACTCCATCTTTCCTGGCCATAGCAATTGGTCTGAGAAGAACAATTAACCAAAGCAGGGCAAATTATAGTTTTCCCTATGGTGTACCATATACATTTTGGGAAAGACTATCTTTTCCTTTAGATATGAGTCATAAAATTTTATGCTTGAATATGTCATGATTCTCCCAACACACAGAGGGATTTAGAACTCAAAAAGAAAAAAAGATGCCAGGGTCCTTAAAACTTCATTTGAAAAGCTGGATCCAATTGTGCCTGAAGCCAGATGTGAACCAATATATTCCTTTTTTTAGTTTAACTTATTTAGAGTTCAGTTTCTGTCCCTTGCAAATCAAAGAGCCCTGAATAACTCATCCTTTAAAGTGTGCCTCAATCTATACTTCCTCCCAAGATGTCCTTTGATCTCTTCAGCAAGAGATCACCAGCAGAGTACTTTTTTTTTTTCTCCTTGTATTGAGATTTTCTATTTTACAGCCTGGTTTTATAGTTAATTGCATGCATATTAGTGGCCCTTTTTAAATCCAATATTAGACATTTATTTGTAAAGGAAGTTACTTCAAATATTGATCATTAATATTTTCATAATTAATAATAATTTAAGATTAATAATAACTATTCAGTGCCAGGACTTATGCTAGTAGCTTTAAAAGTGTTATTGAATCATCATAACATTTTTAACAGACAGGTTTTGTTATTTTTTATAGATTAAACATAAAACATATTCAAGGAAGGTCATTGGCTTGCCCAATTTCCTATAGCAGAAAGCAAGATTAGAACCCAGGTCAGCCTTACTCAATAAGTTGTGATTAATTGTGTGTGTGTATACATACACATATGTATGCATGTATGTGTGCATATATACACACACTTACATGTGTGTATATATGTATATATTTTTTAGCCAGTGTTGTCGTGATCAATTCTCATCAATGTTATCTTGTACCCCACATCCTCCTCTCCCAGTTTATTTTTCCTGGGGATATGCCTAATGCAATTACATCAGTAAGTGAATGGATTGATTGCATGGAATTGATACCCAGAGTGGCAAAATTACATGTAAAGAACACTTCCTGCATCTTTCATGGAAAAACATAGGTCCAAATATAGATGGCATGGTCTTCTGATCTCACAAGTTAGTGCTTGGCAAAAACTCTATAAGGCTACCAATTTCTGAAAGACAAGCCCATTTAGAGAGGAACAAGCTATGATGGATGCGTAGTCCCACAAAATGTACAATAAAGGATAGAAACATTGCTATGCATGATTTTTTAATAACTACAAGAAATTCCATGTACAGGATTTCTGAAAATTGATAGCGTTGCCAATGCCGCTCATCTCTTTAAACAAGCAAACTCATCTTCCCTGGTGCTGTTACATCTGTAATAAATTGGCTCCTCAGACATATCTGCTTGCAGGTTAGAACTGAGATTGAATAGATAATAACTTTTGGGGTAGCAATGCCTGCCAGGGCAAATAATAAAGAAATTTATGACCTGAGAAGTGCAGGGTGATAGTGTTCCAAAAATATATTTCACCTGGTCCCAAAGCAGGTTCATTAGGTATCCAGGAAGCTGCAGAAAAATATTCAGTACCTAAGGGGAGGTGACTAAAAAAGAACAATCTCAAACATAGATGAGCCATTACTTATAAAAACATGTAGGTCAAAGAAAAGCTTGCTGCTAAATGCCTTTTAAAATCAAGACACAAGGGCTGAGAGTTTGGCTGGGGGCATGCCTAAATCTTGCACAGGGAATCAAGCTGTGCTTCTTCAGTGACCTTACATAGTATGGCAGCTTTTGCAAATATCACACTGAATACCAATGGCTTTGATAGAGCTTCAGTAAGTGGGTTCTCTGTTTTGGGTAATCATTTTTCTCCCTTACAAAAATAATTAAATCTCACCATTGAGCTGAGTCTACCAACATCGTGCAAACACAATTAAACTGAACGAGGGAGATAATTCCACAGAAAGGTGACCATGTCAAGTGGACAGAAGCCTACCTGGGAGCTAAGGTCTTCATTAAAGCTCTGGCTCTAATATCATAGTTTGTGTGACCCAGATCAATGGCACTTAACTGCTTTGAAAGGCGGTTATTCATCCTTAAACGTTAGGAAGTTGTAACAGCAAATACTTTTACTCGTGAGAAATGATGATTAAGATATTGTGAGTTGGGGAGGACTTCAAAGTGGAAGTCTTCACACTTCATGCAGCATTGGATTACATTTTATTTTTATTATCAAGGAGGCTATTGACCTTTTCTTTGAATACTAAAAGTCCTAAGGCTGGGCGCGGTGGCTCACATCTGTAATCCTAGCACTTTGGGAGGCTGAGGTGAGCGGATCATCTGAGGTCAGGAGTTCGAGACCCCCTTGGCCAAAATGGTGAAACCCCATCTCTACTAAAAATACAAAGATTAGCTGGGCGTGGTGGTGTGCACCTGTAATCCCAGCTACTCAGGAGGCTGAGGCAGGAAAATGGCTTAAACCCCGGAGGTGGAAGTTGCAGTGAGCCAAGATCGTGCCACTGCACTCCAGCCTAGATGACAGAGCAAGACCCTCTCTCAAAAAACAAAACAAAACAAAAGTACTCAGGCAATAGCAGATATTACATCTATACAAAAATATTAGTGCTTCTCCAAAACTGGTAGTGAGTTTTTCCATTGAGTGCCTACTTTGGGACCCACCAGTAAGCCCTGCCCCATGCTGTTTATAAAACAACACTAATCAAGGAAGGAGGTACATGAACAAATTCTGTGCTTTCGGTGTGTGATCCTTGATATCAGCATTTTTTGTTTCTTTGATTGTTTTTCTCCATGGACCTGAGGTAGGCTGGTTAATGATGAGCCTACACCACTATTGTGGCTCCCCAAGATAACGACACATGCCCTCTGCTATATTGGCCAAATAAGACAGCCCTCGGAACACCAATTGTGTTCTTCCTGTTCCATGAACAGTTTCTGTCTTCTGTCTTTGGTTTGCCACAATCCAAACTCTTCGCCTGTTTCCTGTCAGCTCCCTGGCCCTGGTCTGGATCCTGCTCTTGTTCAACTCACCCAGAACTCTGCTTTCCCCACTGACTTTGACGGTGGTCCAGGAGGACTGTAATTTCTTACTGATGAGCCCCTTCCTTCACATTATGCAACTGTGGTACTTTTCCCTGGTCTTTGCATATTGGACTAGGACATTGGCCATCTCCGCATTTCTATCCAGGTTCCATTCGTGGGGAAGAATGAATTTGTTTGCCTAGCCCTGATCCTCAGGTTACACATCCCCTCTCCTGAACCCATCATCCATGTTGCTAAGGTCAGAGGGGGTTCAGGTTTGAACCTCCGTAACTGTGCCCAGGCATATCTTTTTATTTTATTTATTTTACTTTTTATTTTTTTACTATCCTGCCTCAGCTTCCTGAGTAGCTGGGACTACAGGTGCCCGACACCATGCCTGGCTATATATATATATATATATATATATTTTTTTTAGTACAGATGCGGTTTCACCGTGTTGGCCGGATGGTCTTGATCTCCTGACCTCGTGATCCGCCCACCTCAGCCTTCCAAAGTTCATCATTTTAAAAAATTACATTAGAGTGCTTACTTCTATAAATAAGTTAAGAACTCTATTAAAAATATAAACAAATCTCTTAGCACAACTATTTGAACCTTTGGACTCCTATATATATATAGGATGAGTTTTTAAATGCATGATGTCAATGTGCAGATAAGGTTTTATATAAGAGTAAACATCTTTAAATTGGTAAATTTAACATCATGTTAAACTGCCACATTCTAGTCCCAGAGGATTTTTTCCTTTGCTAAAACAAATGTATTGATATTTTTATCCATATGAGGACCCTGGTACAGACACACTCACAACAATAACACATAGTACACAACAAAAAAGATTTAATATTCCCATTATTTTTTCTTAATAGTCATTAAAAATATTTTTAAAGTTCTCTCATGTTTAAAAGATGAAGTAAGCACCTCTGGGCCATTGTGCCTGAAAATTATTCTTCAATTGGCATTTATTATTTTGATGAAAACTCTAGTTCTCAGGGTTTATGTTTTATTTTTACCCATGTCCATATTGTGGAAAATTAAACAAAAAAGAGAAAAAAAAATTCAGCAGGCACAGACCTCAGAGTAACTTAATATTCTCTTTTTAGCTTCTATTTTAGAACACTGAAGTGAAAACTCACCACAAAATGATTTTGTTTACTACATATTGAGCAGTGAGGATGGGAGGAAGAAGAAAAAAAAACAAAGCAAACCATAAAACAGGCAATTTGTGGTGTACTTTCTTGTTTCCTTTCAAAATATGTTTTGGATTCGTTTTAATTACATTAGAAGTATTAATCCATTATCATGGGTAAGCAAAAAATTAAGGTAGAAAGACATGGTTAGATCACGCTTTTCTAAGCCTCTTCTAAGAGGTAGCTTCTATAGTCAGAGATGTGTCTTCCCAATATATTTATAGGCATTATATAAATATATGTATATAGAGAAATATAAAGTTTTTTTTAGATGTGCACTGCAACTTTTGTTTCACTTAACACATATATGGTATGATTGAGTGTGTGTGTATATGTATATAAATATATAGATATATATACGATATATTTTACATTTCATAGGAATGATAGTTATATTCCTACGAAATATACCTATTAAATTATGTAAATTTACAAACATATATTTATAAAATTAAATATATATCATATCTCAATACACATATTACATATATTTATATAATTATATATGTAATAGCTACATCATTTTCATATAATACAATACATTATAGCAGTAAAAGAAAATATGTTAGATACTATATGGAAGATATATTATTATCCTTTATTACTATATCATATTTAAGAGAAAGTGAATGCCAGAGTTTATATGGCTAACTTGCTAATAATCATTTAAGTTGTTTTGTTTTAACAATGTTACAGATAGTGCTGCAATAAGCACAAATTAAAAATTTATGTTATTTTGCTGGTAAGAAACTGAAAATCAGTCAAGTTACCTCACATAATGGGTGAAGGTGTAAAATTAAGTTTATGCAAGTGGGGAAACCCAACAAGAGCTGAAAAACCAGGTCCTAGACAGCGAAGAAAAACCCCTCTAGTACAATTATTTCTGGACCAAAATCTGCTCATAGGACTAGGTGGGTAGAAGACATTGCATTTCCCTTTGGGACTCTTCCTTTAGCCCAGCCTCTCCTTTCTCCTCACAATGGTTTCCTCACTTTCAAGCATCTCTTCCCCCAGAAGTGCTGTTCACACTCCAGGCCTCTCAGTCCATAGCCTGGTCTTTCAACCTCAGTGCTCATGGAAAACTACTTGATTCCTGAATTTCTCAGCTTGGATTCCCTAAGGCAGAAGTTGGTTCATTGTCCTGGTGTGTGTGTAGCGGGGGAGCGTGGGGTGTGCACGTGCATGTGTGTGCACGTGCATTCTTTGTCAGGTCATGGCCTAAATAGGACTTTCCTGAATTTAGAGAGGGATGAGAAGAAACATCTCCCTTGTGAAAAAAGAGACTACACCTGGTGAACTTCATTCTCAATGTCTGGTGCAGTGCCTGGCTCAACATGGATCCCTGTTTACTATCTTAGATTCCAGAGGATCATGGAATTGTATCTCCCACATACAGGATATAAACAGTTATCAGTGGTGCTAGATCATGAATCCAAAGATCAGATCCAGCTGCTGCATGCACACTGGGCCTCACATTGCAATGTAGAAAATGAATCCAATAATGCACACTTTACACAAATGTGAACATTAAATGAGATAATGTCTAAATAGTCTTTGTAACCTTAAAGCACAATCAATATATAAAGCCAGCTCTAAGAAAAACAGAGTAAATTAAGAACCAGGAGAACTTATAAATTATGACTTATTCTTACATGAAGTAATTTCTATTCACCATGATGACAAATGCCAAGAAGGAGAAAGTCATGGTGACTTGAAAATTTCCTGTCTCGGCCGGGCGCGGTGGCTCACGCCTGTAATCCCAGCACTTTGGGAGGCCGAGGCGGGCGGATCACGAGGTCAGGAGATCGAGACCATCCTGGCTAACACGGTGAAACCCCGTCTCTACTAAAAATACAAAAAATTAGCCGGGCGTGGTGGTGGGCGCCTGTAATCTCAGCTACTTGGGAGGCTGAGGCAGGAGAATGGCATGAACCCAAGAGGCGGAGCTTGCAGTGAGCCGGGATAGCGCTACTGCAGTCCAGCTTGGGCGAAAGAGTGAGACTCCGTCTCAAAAAAAAAAAAAAAAAAAAAAGAAAGAAAATTTCCTGTCTCAAGTACACCATAGCACAATCGTTTTGTCCAGACTCCATCCCAGCTTTGAATAGCCACCTCTCTGCTTGTTAAAGTTTATCTCTTCTTTGGAGACTTAGACGTAAGCTTGACTCAAGAGTTCCTGGTTTAAGCCACTTTGGGACATGAGTGAGGCTCAGAAAAGCTTTCTGTTTGTATGTGACACTTTTGCAGGCTGAAGTACCTTAGAAAATCTCAACACCTATATGAAGTCAGTTTAACTGAGCATTGGATTTATGCTATATAGTTTGAGGGATTTTCCTTTGCTTCTTAAATTTAACTTTTTTAAAATTTCTACTAAAAAAAAAAGGGATACATATGCAGAACTTGCAGGTCTGTTACATAGGTATATGTGTACCATGGTGGTTTGCTGCACATACTGACCAGTCCTCTAATTTCCCTCCCCTCACCCTGCAACCGCAACAGGCCCTGGTGTGTGTTGTTCCCCTCTCTGTGTTCATGTGTTCTCAATGTTCACCTCCCACTTATGAGTGAGAACATGTGATGTTTGGTTTTCTGTTTCTGGGTTAGTTTTCTGAGGATGATGGCTTCCAGCTTCATCCATGTCCCCGAAAAGGACATGATCTTATTCCATTTTATGGCTGCATAGTATTCCTTATTGTATATGTACCACATTTTCTTTATCCAGTCTATCATTGACAGGTATTTGGTTTGATTCCATGTCTTTGCTATTGCAAATAGGACTGCAATATGGCGATTCCTCAAAGATCTAGAACCAGAAATACCAGTTGACCCAGCATTCCCATTACTGGGTATATACCTAAAGAATGTAAATCATTCTACTATAAAGACACATGAACACGATGTTTAAATTTAACTTTTGCCAAAAGTTTTACTACATTCATCGCATTAGTTCTCCTTAGGAACATCAGAAAATGTGGACAAAGCAAAATATAATTAAATAGCCTTGAAAAATTCATTCAGTCTTACCCACAGTCCTTCTCTCATGATCCCCCCAACAACTTCACAAGAACAAACGATTAATATTTCCATTTGATAGATCTGGAAACGAAGCTTTGGAGAGGCTAAATCACACACCCTAGGTCACAGAGTTAACAATAACTGGTTTCCTGTACTCAAAGCCAGTTGTCGTTTTCCCCAACTGCTTTATTCTAGGTGGAGTCCTGCGACTTGATTAATGAGCCATGCATTAGGTGAGCTGAAATCTTGCAAGCATCAGCTGCTAGGTAGCACCTGAGCTTTTAGAAACCTTTTCTGGTCTCTAAGTAGTGCCATTTATAACCTTCCGTTAGAGGTGAACAGGAAAAAACTGTTTTACTGGCATTCTGGAAGTAACACAAAGGCAATCATATAGCGAAACCTCATTTTCCAGAAAAATTAAGAAGTCCATATCATAAAAGTTTAAAACTGGAAATAACCTAAATGTCCACCAATAGGGGATTGATTACATGTTATATTCACACCATGGAATATTGTATAATTAATTAAAGTGGGATGTGGGCACATATTAACTGGCTTGGAAAAAAATATAGGTGATATTGATTAGATATACAAAACAGGTCTCCAAATATTTTATGTAATATAATCTCATATTATTAATAAATGCATCTATGCATATTAAAATATTGCTAGTGATTATACAGTGTTTTGCAGTAAAGTTAAATATATATTAGTTTATATTGATATGAATGATTAGTTTGAAAAAAGGGAGTCCTCCTCCTACTCTAAGAACAAAGGAACATGAACTGAGCATGTGATAGTTCTTTCTAATATAGAAGGTACACCAAAAATAATTCTAATTAAGTTCCTGTAACACATATAGCAGGAGCAACTTGCATGCCTGCTTGTCATGAAAGAACTGTTTCGTGAATATTACATATTTTAACCATATGTATGGAGAGGCATACATATACCCAGATTCTCATCCCATGGGTATATGTATGCCTCTCCCAATAGTCCACGGAGTGATTATGTGTGATTTACTTCTATCTTGCTGACAGCTAGCTTAAGAACTCAGTGTATATATGCAGCCATAAAAAAGGTTGAGTTTATGTCCTTTTCAGGGACATGGATGAAGCTGGAAACCATCATTCTCAGCAAACTAACACAGGAACAGAAAACCAAACACTGCCTGTTCTCACTCATAAGTGGGAGTTGAACAATGAGAACACATAGACACAGGAAGGGGAACATCACACACGGGATTCTGTCGCGGGGTGGGGGTGTAGGGAAGGGATAGCATTAGGAGAATTACCCAGTGTAGATGACAGGTTGATGGGTGCAGCAAACCACCATGGCACATATATACCTATGCAACAAACCTCCACGTTTTGCCCATGTACCCCAGAACTTAAAGTATAAAGAAAAAAAAAGAACACAGTGCATAATGAGAGCCTAATAAATGCTCTGAAATGTATATCTTTGTAAAGTTGTTGGTGCTTGAGACAGAAATGACCAAGATGCATCAACATATACCGTCTGGAAATTAGCATGTGTGTTTCAGGTCAATGAATAAAGGTACTGGGTAAAGGTTTGAGAGGGAATAAAAGGCAGTGTGTATAAGTCCTGTCTCAAGGGTTTCAGATTGGAGAATCGCTGTCAACAAATGTTAGGAGGTAGTCTCACTTCAGAGAGTCCCATCTTTAGAGAAAGATTCCTTAGATCTCAGGTCTTTTTATTCAGCTCTTCATTTACTCATTCCACAATTATTGAGCTCTGTACTTTAGAATCGAGGAAGTTAGGGCAAATTCAGGAAGCTCTCTCTTGCCTTCATTCATCTGGAGTGAAGTTTGTTCTGCCCAAAGCAGGTAAAGGGTCCTTTAAAGTTGAATTCTCATTTCTTTCTTATATACTTATTTAACCAGGAGTTAGCTTTTCCTGCTCTTGAACTTCACATGAAAGGAAATAGACAGTATGTATACTCTTTTGTGTCTGGTTTCTTTTATGGAGTAAAATGTGTTTGAGATTCATCCATATTATTCTGCGCTTCAGTAGTTTGCTGCTTTTAGTGCTGTGAGAATTCCATGGTATGAATACACCACTTTTTAAATTGATTTACCTGCTGATGGATAACTGGGCTGTTTTCTGTTTGGTGCATTATCAATAAAACTGCTATAAACTTTGTTGAACAAGTTTTTTCATGGCTATGTTTTCATTTTCTTGAATATATACCTGGAAGTAGAATTACAGGGCCACAGGTTGCCTCTAAAAGTGGGTGGGGAGGACGGACTCTCTTGGGGGAGATGTGTTATTCTATATCTTATTAAGGGTTTGATTACACAGGCGTGTACATTTGTCAAAGCTCTTAGAATTGATACACTTAACTTTGTGCATTTTAATACATATAAATTCCATCTTAAATAAAAAGAACCGTAAACAAAGGCTAAACTTTACTTAATGACGTTGTGCTAAAGTATTTGATAGGAATTGGACTACTTTCTGACACTTAATTTGGAATGCATCAAAAAATAAGACATATTGATAGATGAACAAACAGATGAATAGACATGGTCTAAAATAACTATAGCAAAGCAATTACAGAATGTAAGTGATGGATACATCAGGCTATTCATTGTACAATTTATTCAATTTTTTTGTATGATTGAAATTTTTCATAATAAAATGCTAAGAAATAGAAATATTATTTCTTTTCTCTCTTCCACAAAAATCTTCCAATGACTTTCCAACCTACCTAGAGCAAAATCTAAGGTAGTTATTTTGGAGGATAAGGCACTGCCCAATATAGTGACTGGAGCCTCTCTGGCTTCATCTGCTCCCACACTTACCCTTTCTGGCTTGTTTCCAGTGATGGTGACTTCCTTACTTTTCCTAGTGCACCCCTAGCCTGTTCTGGTCTCAGAGGTCTCACACTTACTGGGACCTCTGCATAGGATGCTCCCACCCCAGGTATTGGCATGGCCACACTCTCTCTGTACCGCTACTGATTCAAATCTCCTCTGACCCCTCCCCCAAGAGATCTCCTCTTTCCGCTTTGTCAATCTCTCCTCCTCACTGTTATGCTGTGTTTCTTTGTTCATAGCATTTAGCAGCACAAGATATCATTTAAAATATATTTACATTTTATTTATTTTCATTTCCTTACTGGTGTATAAACTAACAACCAGGACTTTGTTTTTATTAATTATTATTTTTAATTATTTTATTTTTGTGTTTTTACATTTATTTTTACTTGTAGAAATGTATGGGGTACACGTGTAATTTTATTGCATGCCCAGATTCCACAGTGGTAAACTTTGGACTTTTAGGGTATTCGTCACTCAAATAACATACATGGTACCCATTAAGTGACCTCTCATCATTTTATCTTGTTAATTGCTGTATCACCAGCTCCTAGAGCAGTGTCTGGCACATGCAGCAGCTACTCAATGCATATGTGTTGGCTAAATAAATAAATGGGACTTTTTATAATGCCATTTAGCAAAATTAAATAAACTTTTCACTTTAGAACTGTTTAGATATACAGAAAAATTGTGAAGATATTGAATTCTTGTACAGTCCATAACCATCATCCCCTATTGTTAACATCTTACATAGTATGGTACATATGCTAAAATTAATGAACCAACATTGATACATTTTTATTAACTGAAGTCTGTACTTAATTCATATTTCCTTAGTTTTTATCTAATGTTGTTTTTCTGTTTCACAATGCCACCCAGAATGCCACAATGTCACATTGCATTCAGTTGTCACATCTCCTGAGGCTGTTGACTGCGACAGTTTGTCAAATTTCCTTGATTTGATGATCGTGACAATTTTGAGAAGTACTGGTTAGGTCTTTTGTAGAATGCTTCAATTGAGAATTGTCCATAGACTTTTTTACAAGACAATGAATAAGCTTGGGAAAATTTTGTTCCCTCACGAATTGTGACATGTACCCAATATTCTAAAATATTTGTACTACTTTAGAATACAGATATACCTTACAGATCTTTTTTGCTTGGTGTTCCTACAAACCCTGTGGTGAGGAATATATTTCTATGTGCATCCTGCATATGAGATAACACAGCTTCCAAAATGGTATCTGTGCCAGATCACACAGAATCCATGGCCGAGAAGAACTCTAACCTGAACTTTCTAACTACAGGTCCAGCTCACTCTCTCTCTACCTCTCACATCAGCCTCTAGAGCCCACATGCTGTTGACACCATCACAAATTGCCCTTTGCAGACAGCTACCCAAACCTGAAACTCTTCAAAGGCATGCAGTATCATGATTCCTTGCTCAGTTGCTTTCAATCAAAAGAGTAGCACTGAATCTAACAACACTGTTAGCCAGAGAAATTAATGCTCTGGGATAATATTTAAATTTAATCTGATAGAACTTATCAAAATATCATGTTCTGGGCTTGTCAATAGGTGAAATGTTTCTGAGACACTTTCATGTGAAAAGAACCAACGGTCATTAGGTTGATAGCACCTGTTCCTGCATCTCATTCTGTGTAAGAGAAGAATGAACAAGAACAGATTGAACACGGAGCACTTTCCCCATCACAATTTGCCTGGGGAATCTTGTGGGGAGAGGAACCATCCTGGGGCATTCTCCACAACTGCTAACCAGTGTTACCAGTTGCAAAAATCTTACTTTCCTTATAAATACAGACTCTAAATTGACTTGTTTTATTCCATTATAAAATGCTTCATTCTACAGCTTACAGGTAACTTATTATGCTGAGTCCAGAAGAAAGAAAGGCACATCAGCCTCATTAATTCCAGTTTCACCCCCCAGGGAGATTTCCTTCACACCACCATATGGACTCATCACCCCTGGGCTTTGGCTATCATGGCTTTTATGAGAATCCATTATCCATCTTCTCATAATTGTCTGTTTTAAGAGTGGAGCTAGGCTCACCTTGTTCATGACTGAATCCCAGAGCAGGATTACTCCATCCTATATACCCAATAATTACACCTGAAATAAAATGTATTTGTATGAATCATAGTTATTATTTATAATATTTTTGTTCTTTGTGCACAATTGAAATAGTTTATAATTTATATATTTTACAATAAAACAATTTCTATTAGGACATGGGAAAGGAAACTATGTATATTGGTGACAAATAAGCAGTTTCAAACAAACAGATGAATGTTATACTCTGAAGAGTGCAATATTCCCAAGGATAGATGAAAGCAAACTAACATGCAGGTCCATCCCCCTGTGTGAACAACTTCCTACAAGCGTGGGAGAATCCAGAGGTTCTTTTTGAATACTTACCTTTACTAGAGAAGAAATTACATCATGTACTTTTACTTAACAATAAGTACTCCTGTTAAGAGTAGCCCTATTTCTGAATAGGAAATAAAGCTGGTTTCTGAATAGAAAAAAAGTTAACTGCAGGTGGTTATAAAATGTATGCCCATGAAGAAGCTGATTGGGGGCCATCAATTAGAAACTTTGAATCTTTAAGTCTTCCCCCCAAGAGAACATCTCCACATCTCAACTGGATTCACTTCTAAAGTAGAACCCAAAAGAGTCATGTGGAATTGGTCCAGTTGGGGAGGGGGATACCTGCAGAGGCCATGACTGACATCAACTGGGGCCTTATTTTTGTTGCTACACCGATATATCTTTTTGGTTAAAAGCCATGTTTCCTTTTTTTTTTTTTTTTTAATAAATGACATGCAGTTAGGTAAAAGGCCACTCGCCTAGGATTTCACGTCTTAATCATTGGTTAATGACCAGAACAGACTTGTGATTTTGAGTAGGGGTGTAGCTATGGGCTCCCAAACAGACCCAAATAGGTCACATTTGCAAACTTGCTTTCCATAGCCAATGAATGGTTCATGCATTTTCTGAGGACTTTTTCCTCTCTAAATCTAGATCTTCCATGGAAACCTCTTTAAAGTCTCCTGAGGCTGATTCCGCTATTATATTCTATACCAATCTCTGTTGTTTTGTGGCATCTGTAACAGCTGGGACATTATCTAGTGCAATATTTTTTAAAATTTTAATTCCATTTTCTTCCCATCTTATATACTTTGTTGTTTTCTCTATTTAACTCTTTCTTCCATCTGGATCATAAGCACATTAGAATTTTACTATCCTTGTATGCCATAAATTATACATTAATAGAATAGTTAAGGCTTGGGAGAAAAAGTTACTTGTGATTTGCAATTAGAGAGATTTTAATCAAGTTTACCATTCTCAAGAAGTCTGTTTTGCATATAAATAAGGACCGCTAAAAATCGATCTGTTTTGCTCAATTATAAAATGCTTCATTTAGAAGCCTAAGGGTAATTTATTATACTGAATGTGAGGAAAGGAAGATGTATTGCATTATGTTTAATCTTATCAAATGGCTGCTATATTTAATGACAATGTCTGTTTATCATAATTATTATAAGTTGTCTAGGTTAATAAAATCAGAAGACCTATGTGAGATTTTTAAACGCTAAATTTATTATTTATACACCGTCACGAATACCAGCTGTCCCTCATGGATGTGCCGTCATCCCGTGTGTTTGATTTCTGCTGAGGTGGCTGGAGGACTTTGTGTCAGTCAGACAAAGTAGACCATAAATCCAGGCCCTTAGAACCCTCTACAATAAAATATGTAGAAAATAAAAACGTAGAAGAGGGAGAAAATAATACATGCAGGCTTTCAGGTATTTAATATATGCTTTACAAATTCCTTTCTTTCATCATTGGAGATGTTATTTCCAGAAAGATTCAACAGAAACCAAAGCAAAATCTCTGCTCTCTTATAATCTCATAACCAATGATATATGTGTGTATAAGTGATGGAGACAGTAGTGTAGAATCATATATCTTACTGTTTCTCCAAAAGTATTCTGCACATGTGGATATCAGGCAAATTTAACCTTGAGGAAACTGAGGCTCAGAGAGGTGTGTAAGGAACTGGAGGTCACGCTATTGGAAGAGCTTTGTGTTAAACTCCTCTGCTTTCAAAGCTTACTTTTCCCACAATAAGTTGATGACTCAACACTGGAGATGTAGGGCAGGTGATGAAAAGTTTTTAAGACTCAGAATTAGAAACCTGTAGTTGGGTTCTTGGCTTCCCAGCCTTGTGATCCTGGATAAGGCAAAGTCTTTTGCTTTTTGCTGTTACACCTATGAGTCTTTTTGGTTAAAAGACATGTTTCCTTTTTTGTAAATGACGTGCAGTGGAATGCATGTAAATGTCATTCAAAAAAGACAACGGTTTGTTCTTTGTCTGTGTCATGGGCTTATTGCAAGAGTGAAAGTTGACAAAATTACACCTGTAGGTCTAACCAAATTCATTGCTTCTGCAGAAACACACACACACAACTATTGAAAGCACCATACATGAAAATGGGAAAATCTAGTTCAGTTTTTGCAAATGCCATAGTTACAATTACAAGACAATGCAGGTGCATCCTTTTTTTCCCCATACCTTTACCCTGGCAGACATCAATTTACAAAAAAGGAGAAATTTGTTCACTCTTGGTTGTTTAAAACTCCCTTCAGAGATATTGTCTTTTGAGTGGGCCAGTTCCCCAGAAACAATGTTGGTTTGTGCTGATTGTTTGGCAGCTGACATTTTGATAAATGGAAGTATTAGACCATGCATTAAATTACAGTTAGAACTTTACCTGCTATTTTTTCCCCAAATGTAAATGTACTTTAAAATAGAAGGGAAAATAATCACTGTGGTAGCTTCACTTTTAAGTACATGCTTTTTTTTTTTTTTTTTTTTTTTTTGCCAAATGTGCTTGGTTATTTGCCATGAGAAATATAACTAGTTTTAAACTGGAAGGAAAATTCTATGACACATTGCTCAGGACCTTGATGTTAAGATGATTGCTCTGGGGAGATAACCAGGCCTAGAATACAGGAAAGTAATGTCTTGCTCAATTTGTATCTAGTTCGCAGAACTTGTCCAGGGAAACACTATGGAATTGAAAATAAGGGAAAGCTAAATGAGGTATGGCCAAGGCAGGGACTTGGGGATTCAGTTAGTCCCCTCCACATTCCTCGTCCAACACTTTCAATCAGAAACCACACTCTGTAAACCCTACTACCTTGAAATCCTGCCTAAAGTTCATTCTTCCCCATTACCACTGAAACTACCAAGTTCAGGATTTATCGTGTTTCTAGACCTCATGCAATAACTTCCTAATTGCTCTTCTTGCTTTCAGTTATGTCCATTCCAATCTACCCTTGAATCTGGATGCCAGAACCATCTTGACTATTAGCAAATATGATGCTATAATTAATCCATTATCACCCATGGCTGAATATTAGAATTAACAGGAAAGTCTCTAAAAATACTGATGCCCTTGACCCATCTTTAGAGATTCCAACTACATAAATTTGGACAAGAGACCAAGTATGGTTATGGTATTGTTTTACAACTTCCCAGATGGTTCTTTTCTTTTTCTTTTTGAGACAGGGTTATTGTCTGTAACTCAGGCTGGAGTGCAGTGGTGTAATCACAGCTCACTGAATCCTTGACTTCCAAGGCTCAAGCAATCTTCCTGCCTCAGCCTCCCAAGTAGCTAGGACTACAAGCATGCACCACCAAACCCAGTTAATTCCCCCAGCTATTGTAACATTAGGACTAGGAACCGCTAATATAAATCCCTACACGTGGTCTTGTGGTATCTGCTTAGCACTTTAACATGGCCATGAACACCTCCAAGGTAGGCCTCTGCCTGCCTCCTTTATGTCTTCTTTCTACTCATCAAGAAGCATCAGTTTTTGCCGCTTGGCCATAGATTTCTCTTCATTCTATGACTTTGCATGTCCTGCTGTTTTCTGGGAGTATTCCCTTTACCTGGTTTATCGACTTATATAACTTTAAGTGTTCATGTTTATAAAGGCTTCTCTGACCTGCCAACATACCTTACGTCTCTATATAGTGTAGTGAAAACTCCTTTATTTATATTTCATTGTACTGTTACATAAATACATGGGTATACCAAATAAATGTGTGTGTATATAGGTGATACCATCTGAAACACCAAATCTCTCATTTTTATGTTTGTTTTCTCAGAGTTCAGCAAAGCACATGATCGGCGTTTCAAGCATTTCTGCTAAATGGGAAATCTAATGAATGATTTATGATCATTAATTTAGTTTAATTTAATGATTTAAGATAATTTAATGAATGTCTGGGCAGTGAAAGAAACTGTCCTTAAATATTTGGAAAGAGATACTATGATGAATTTTCAAAGCACTGGTTATCTCAGAAAAATATAGGATTTTGAACCAGGACTCATTTCAAAAGAGATGTGCCAAATATTGGCAAAACCAACTATGTGAGGTCAAATTAAGGCATGCCAGGTCAGAGGCTGTGGGCTCAATAATGCCCCATAGTGTGCTGTAGAATTGTATTTTTAATATGCATATGCCATTTTCTTTTGCATGAAGCTTGCACCTCTTGCCCTGCTCTGAAGTAGCTCTCCATTAATGGCTTTCCTCTAGGACTACTGTCATGGATTCTACTGCAGAAACCTTTTGCAATCAGCGTTTTGTGGGAGAATAAGCTCTAATCCCTTAAGAGTATGGTTCTCAAAGTGTAGTTCCCGGACCAGCAGTACCAGTATCACCAGTATACTCAGAAATGCTAGTTCTTGGGCCCCAATTCAGACCTACTGAATCAGAAACAACTATGGTGGAGCCCAGCAATCTCTAGCTTCACAAGTCTTCCAGGTGATTCTGATGCATGCTCAAGTTTGAGAACTACTGGCCTAGAGTCAGCATAGTTGAGCATTTCAGATTTAGAACAACAGAGCCAGCACAGGTGTGCCTCTATGAGAACCACCTGAAGAGAGTTGCAATAATACAGGTTCCAGGATTTTTACATATTCAGTGGGTCTAAAATGGGACTTTGCAATCTAGATGTTAGCACAGGTTTCCTTGGTTATTCTGACCTGGACTAAAATATGGGAATAAAGTGCCTAGATAGTTTCTGAGCTCTTTGCCAATCAGTGGATGCTGTCTTGTTTCATTCATTGCTTCCTTCCTTTTTACTTAACTTCTGCTGGAGGCAACATCTTCTTCCCCACAGATTCCATAATTAGGTTGCACATTAGAATCATTTAAAAAGTAAAGCATAAAAACAAACAAATAAACAGGGCTCACCTCTACTCAGAGTAACTCATTTAGTATCTAGGAGTAGGGCCTGACTACTGCTATTTTTTAAAAGCTCCTCAAATGATGCTCATGTCAGCAAAGACAATGTGAGTAGAAAATCAGACAATATAAACACTGATTTGTGAGCCACAGTTGAGTATGAGATTCTTCAATGTTTTGCCAGAGGTTGTGGCTCTGCAAACCCCAAACCATAGTCTTTACATACCCAGGTAAGTGTCTCTTGACACAAGCTCAGCCAGTCAGATTTTCTTCAGTGGGAATTTGAACGCTGAGCATGGAATTGACCACATCACCAGATGGTGTCCGAGTAGAGTCTCCGTTGGCCATGTTCTAGAAAGGAGGCCTTACAGTGACTGTCCCTATACTACACTGGTTTCTCTCCACCTGAGGCTTGGTTGTTAACCTTTTGTTTTTATTCTGTGAGCTACCCTAGTGCTTTTCCAATGAGTTCTTACTTTTTTTTGAAAAAGTTGAAGTTGGTTTCTTTAGCTTGCAGCCCAGAAGACTTTAATGAACACACTCTGCCACGAATTGATGGTGAAACCCTGGGCAAGTCATCTTACATTTCTAGACCTCCATTTCCTTCAGCTGTACAATGAAGCTAGTGATGTATATCCACATTTCTTAACCACTTATAAAATGACACTCATTCTTTAAAAAAATGAGCTGCATGAAACTTGAATAAATAAAATGAAGGAAAATGATGATTGATTTTCCCACCTCAAATCTTTCTTTACTGTTTGACAAAACTTATTTCACTCTGAGCAGAGGCCTGAAGAATCCTCTTAGTAGAGCTGTTCCCTTGGAGAACAGATGATGATAAAGAGTTCTCTTTCCATAGTTTTGTGTTTCTTTTTTATTGCTCTATTTTTTATTATTCTTATTATTTTTAAATATTTTTGTGGGTAAAAATCTAATAATCCAATCAAAAAATGGGCAAAGTATTTGAATAGACATCTCTCAAAAGAAGACATACAAATGGCAAACAGGCATCTGAAAAGGTGCTCAACATCATTGACCATCAGAGAAATGCAAATCAAAGCTACAATGAGATATCATTTCACTTCAGTTAAAATGGTTTATATCCAAAAGACAGGCAGCAACAAATGTGGAGAAAAGGGAATCCTTGTACACTGTTAGTAAGAATGTAAATTGGTACAACCTCTATGGGGGACAGTTTGGAGGGTCCTGAAAATCTAAATATTGAGCTACCGTATGATGTTATGATCCAGCAATCCCACTCCTGGGTATATACACAATAGAAAGAAAATCAGTATTCCTATATTTTTTGCAGTACTGTTTACAATAGACAAGATTTGGAAGCAAGCTAAATGTCGATCAACAGGCTTTGTGATTCTTGATTCAAAGCCTTGAGACAGAAACAACTGGAGTTTTCCATTTTAGAGCCATATATTGCTAGATGTAAAAGGCCATGTAATGATACTTAATGGAACACACAAAGGGGTAAATGCAATGCAAACTCAAAGGTAGAAAACTGCTTTTCCAGAAGGCCTTTTAAAAGAGAACTGATTGACTAATCTATTTTTTTTTTTAGCTATGGAAAAATGCTATCTAAAAATAGGAATCATATTATCCTGGAATATTTGGACACCTGTTGAGTGTTGCCTCTGAAGTCTTTTAGGATGCAGAGTTAACACCCATGAAAAGGTCAAGACAGTTCTCTGTTTCCAAATGAAATTGCTTGGAAACACATTTCAGTAGGAAGTTGGGTTTTTGGAGACCTGCTGTGAAAGTTAGCAAATGAAATGTAAAATGTGTGAAATTTTCAGTTTTAGAAAAAATACCAATTTTAAAAGATTGTGGCATTTTTGCTTTACCAAATGAAGCTCTTTTGGTGGACTTAAATATATCTCCTGCATATTCTGGGCTTAAATAAAAAAATCTTCAAAATATCATTTTATTAAAATCTTCCCACACTGCTAAAAATTCAGAGGTCATAGTCTAAGTTATTTCTAGCAGGATCTATGCATGAAATTTCTGTATGATACACTATGCACAGGTTCCACTGCAAAAGACAATACAGGTAAACATAATAATGCCTATGATGACCACACCATGGGCAAGGGCATCTTCTGAGCATTCTTATAATCTTAGCTCACTTAGACCCCTTCCCTGCTAACCTATTCTCACTTACTGCAGCCTGGTCCTTCCCTGCTCCTAAGCTGCAGTTACCCTTGGCAAAGGTTGGAAATGGTCTCTTAAGGGTTTCTGCCCAATAACCATGATGTTCTTGTCCTATGATTCGCTTCTCTGCTTGATGTTGACATCGGTGTTAATTTGGACTATTCTCTTTCTCAAAATTATCGGCCATCTTGACATTGGTTATTCTGCATTCTTTGAGTCTTCTCCCCCTTCTATTAATGCTACTTTTTGGTCTCATCACTTCAGTCTCTCCTCAGCTCTTCCCATGAATGTTGGCATTGCCTAGCACTCTGTCTGTAGGACCACTATTTTAACATGCACTTGCCCCCTTGGGTAACTCTACCAAGTGCCAAAACCCATTCTTTATGAGTTTTACAATGCCATATCCAACATATTTTGGGGCACTTCTGTCTATCTTGGCATGAGAATCTCAAACTCAGCATGCCATAAGGTGATGGTTACTAATAGAATGGTGTCTGGCATCAGAATGTCTGGCCATGAATCCTGCTAAGTATGTATTATAGATATGACCATTGTCATGTTTCTTAACTCCCTGGGTTTCACTTTCCTTATTCTAATGTTTTGAGGATTAAATAGGACAGTGCATGTAAAGTGTTTAGGCACACTAAGCCCTAAATAAATAAAATTTAGCTATATTTATACATATTCCAATTTAACTTGCTAATTATTTTATATATGGATCTTAAACTTGCTGCCATCCAAATCAGAAATTAGATAATTATTTTTGACGTCTAATGTTGGCTCACCTACACATCAATTAATCATTGAATACTATTAATTTGAAATTTTAAAAAAGTTTTAAAATGTATTATCTTTTCTATGTCACCATTTATATTGCCCTAGTTCATGTCTGTTTATGCTTCTATATATACCTCTGTCTGTCTGTGTATCTATCTATCTATCTATCTATCTATCTATCTATCTATCTATCATCTATCTCTCTCTATCTGAATGTTATATATCCTTAGAAGGCAAGGACTGTGTGTGTATGAAAGACAAGGACAGAGAAAGATGGAGACAGGTTTTACTTAACTTGAAAAAAATCTATGATATATTATTACCGGAGCTTAAAGATATGGGGGGAAATATATAGAAAAGAGAAAAGCTGCTAATAAGCACACTTGGACATGGTGCCAGTACTTAAAGAGGTTGGCAAGCCAATGCTAATTGAATAGAACCACAGAACCACACTGTTGATGCCACATTAAAATAGCCTTTCCTTCCTCTAGGGCTGTTTAATAAAAATGCAGCGTTTTTATATACATCCTAAATGTTGCTTTATTGAAGAACTTAAAAGCAAGTTAATAACAGCATACTTAGGGTTTAGGTGGGAGACTACAATAATGGCCTATTTGAAAAGAAAAATTACGTAGTAAACCCATTCACACACTGGAGGTGATTTTATGAATCAGATTTGGAATTCTAAGCAATCAAATACAGGTGATGCTCAAGGTTACGATATCTGGTAGAATTTACTGCATATAAGGAAACACTCAACGCAAACAATGTCTTCAATATATTAACCATTGTGGGTCTACTTTCTTATGTTTCCCTGACACTGCCACAAATCAGAAATAAATAGCATCATTTTAAAGATTAAGGAGGTTTAAAACCATACTTTAGAAATGGAATGAAAAACTAAAATAAAATACATTGACTTTTATACTCTATTTGTTAATAAAAGGAAAGTCAGAGAATATGCTCATATTTTGCAGCTTCATGCACTTTCTCTTTCTTATATAACCAACCAAATTAGAGCCATGAAATATATTTTTAAGTTCCTAATTTAGTATATTTACCTGAGTTGCAAGATGAATATAAAATAGCTTATTTAGGTTTCATGCTTTTAATAATGCACCAAAGTTACTATCTGGAAATATCATTAATTGTACTTTAAAAATAAAAAAATCTTGAAACAGCTTTCAGAATCTTTTAGTTATCACAGATAGAATAAATGACCAATTTCTTTCTGGCTATAAGTAATACATACTACTTCTGCCCATAAAGGAATTGAAAATGCACAGCAAGAAGAACATTTTCTTAATTGTGACCTTCATACAACAAAATTACAATAAATGAGAAACCTGATATATGGAGCTCAACAACAATTTATGAATTATTAGATTACTTTTACTACCTTAGAATTTAAATCAAAACAATTTGTATCTCAATATATTTTATATGTATATGAAGTAGTTGTTGTTTTTATTTTTGTCGCCTAAACTTAGAGTACTCTTTCCTAAGTACTTCATACTAAATTTGTGTGCTTAATTTTCAACCAAGCCATTCACTTGTCTAAAAGAGGGACATATTGAATAATCATTGTTATACTTTCTTTACCTTTTAATTTACAATCTAATTAATTAGCATTTACATTACAAGAAAGGCAGAATAAAAGGGGGTGGGATTTTGTTAGATTATATGTTTTATCATTCTTGTTAAAGAATACAAAATCTGAAGTAAAATATGAAGTAAAAATATAAATACAGTGATCAAATTCTTAAAGTCAAGATGCTATAATACTAAGTGGTGAAGAGAAATGTGGTATATTCCATTCCTGAAGTGAATTTTAATTGGACTAACAAATAGACCCTACCAAAGACATGCTTCTTTCTAAGTGATTCATAAGTAAGACTGTGAGGTAATTTGTGGCTGAAAATAGGCCCTTGAAAATACACCCAATGAACTCAATTTGAAGTATATTTTTTTTGGCCAAGTATGACTATCGCATATGAAATCATTACAAAAAAAGAACAAAATGTGTCGAGGAACTAGCTTTTCCACTCAGATTAAGAACAAGACAACATCACTCCTTTTAATACTCATACTAAAAATACTAGCTAATGCAATGAGAAGAAAAGGAAATAAAATGTATACAGATAGGATGAAATAAATAAAACTATTTACAGATAACATTTTTATGCATAAAATCTGCATATACAATCACATTGAAGGTTAGGGTTTCATTTCATGAATTTTTGTGGGAGGGGCTTAAATAATCAACAACAACACTCTTGCAACTAATAAACAATTGTAGCAAGGTTGAAGGATACAAGATGTACATGCAAAAGCCAATCACATTTCTATAAACCAGCAACGAACAAGTAGAATTTGAAATTAAAAACACAATACTGTTTACGTTAGCATCCCCCAAAATAAAAATACTTAGGTATAAATCCAACAAAATATGTGTAATATCTATATGAAGAGAACATTGAAACGCTGCTGAAAGAAATCAAAGGTAAACTAAATAAATAGAGGGATATTTCATGTTTGTAAATAGGAAGACTCAATATTTTCAAGATGTCAGTTCTTTCTAATTTGAACTATTCATTGAAGTCTCAATTAAAATCTCAGCAAATTATTTTATGAATATTGACAAACTGATTTCATAGCTTATATGGAAAGGCAAAGGACCTAGAAGAGCCAACACAATATTAAAGTAGAACTGACACTCTCCAGTTTCAAGATTTACTATAAAGCTACAGTAATCAAGACAAGATGGTATTTATGAAAGAATAGACAAACAAATCAAAGAAACAAAATAAATACTAGCAATAGACCCACAGAAATATAGCCACCTGATCTTTAGCAAAGGAGCTAAAATAATGCAATTGAGAAATGATAGCATTTTCCAAAAATTGTGCTAGAACAATTGGACATTTACATACAAAAAAAAATACCTAAACAGAATGGTTATAACTGGTAGTAGTCAACTGAGGGCCTCTATAACTGAATATAACTGATTGGGTAGTTTAAACTACAGAAATTTGTATTCTTACAGATCTGGAGCCTGGAAGTCCAAGATCAAGGTGTCAGTAGGTTTGGTTTCTCTAGAGGCCTTTCTTCTTGGCTTTTAGACATCTGCCTTTTTGCTGTGGATTTCACAAGGCTTTTTTATCTGTGCGTACACTCTTTGTATCTCTTCCTCTTCTTATAAAGACACTAGTGCAGTTTGATTCGAGATGCACCCTCATGACCTCATTTAAATGTAATTACCTCCTTCAAGGCTCTTTCTCCAAATAGAGTCTCGTTGATGGTTAGAGTTTCATCTCATGAATTTTTTAGGGGGACTATAATTCATTCTGTAATACACTCTTCAAAAAATTAATTCAAAATAGATCACAGAACTATATATAATACAAAATCATAAAACTCCTGGAAGATAACATAACAGAAAATCTAGATGACTTCGGGTATTGTAATAACTTTTTTGATGAAAGACCAAAGATATGTTCTATGATAAAAATAATTGATAAACTAGGCTTTACTAAAATTTTAACAACCCAAACTTCCACTCTGCAAAAGACTTGTCAAGGGAATAAAACAATAAGACACAGATGAGGAGCATTACTTGAAAAATACATACCTAATAAGGAACAAAACTATGTAAAAAACCCTTAAAAATCAGCATTAAGGAAACAAACAAACAAAAGAATCAATTAAAAACCAGGCCAAAGCCCTGAGAAGACACTACACTAAAAAAGATATTTAGATGGCAAATAACTTATCAAAAGTTGCTCAACATCGTATGTCATTAGAAAATTGTAAATTAAAGCTACAATAAGATAGTAGTGCATACCTATTAGAATGTCCAAAAGCTAAAACACTGACCACACCAAATGCTAGCCAGCATGTGAAACAACGGAAACCTGAATTCATTGCTGGTGTAGATGCAAAGTGGAACAGCTATTTTAAAAGACAGGCTGGCAGCTTCTTATAAAACTAGACATATACAAAACTAAACATACTCTTACAACATGATCCAACAATCATGATCCTTGGTATTTATCCAAATAAATTAAAAACTTATGTCCACACAGAAACCTGCCCACAATGTTTATAACAGCTTTATTTGTAATTGTGAAAACTTGGAAGCAACCAAGATGTCCTTCAGTAGGTGAATAGATAAATAAACCATGGTTCTTCCAGACAATGGAATATTATTCAGTGCAAAGAAGAAATAAGCTATCAAAACACGAAAAGATATGGAAGAAACTTAAATGCGTTTTATTAATGAAAGAAGCCAATCTTCACAGGCTACAGGCTATATGATTCTAAGTACATGACATTCTGAAAAAGGGAAAATTATGGAGGCAGTAATAAAATCAGTGGTCATAAGGATTTAGAAGGAAAGGAACTATGGATTCGGCAGAGCACAGAGGAATTTCAGTGCAAGCTAAGATTTTCATCAAACTAATTCTGTACGATTCTGTAATTGTAGGCCTGTATCATTGTGTATTTTTCCAAACACATACAATATACAACACCAAGAGTGAATCTTAATGCAAACTGTGGACTTTTTGTGACAACAATGTGTTAATTTATGTTCATTGATTGTAACAAATGGACCACTCTAGTGTTACTTGTTCATATTGAAGAACTCTGTATGTGTACGGGGCAGAAGGTATGTGGGAACGCTATACTTTCCACTCAATTTTGTTCTGAACCTAAAACTGTTCTAAAAAAATAAAGTCGATTTTAAAAGCTAACAAAATATCATAAAAACAGCCTCTTCTTTAAGAAGCATACTTCAACACCTTCTACATGTTGGATTCTGGAGTTATCTCCAAGGAATTCAAACTCTATTAGGTAGAAAGAGAAGCTAGAGAATGCTTACATGCCAAGTGAAAGTCCAAAGTTAGTGTTCCCATAAGCCCTGTGAAGTAGATCGAAAGAAAATAGCATCAATTCATCTGCCAGGATAATCAAAGATGAATCAATTATCTCCACCTATCTATTACTTTTTAAATATTTAAAAGTAAATCTTGTATGTTGATGAATATTTTCCAGGCCATCTTTACATCTGGAGGTCTTTCAGATAGAAAAAACAGCATGCTCAAAAATTTGGTATTTTAAACAAGACATCATATTTTAATACATAGTAATTTAGTTAATATAGTTTTGAAGCACAAATGATATGGATGAAGATGATAATGTTAATAATGATAATTCAATGTGCCAAGTGCTTTCTATGTGTCAAGCTTCATGATTTGTATTTAATTTAATTCTCACACCAACCCTATCAAAATTATTATACACTTTTTACTGATAAGAAACTCAGGGAAGAGCAGTTACCTGGCTTCGCCAAACTCATATTGCTACCCTGAAATGTAGACAGAATTCAACTTCAGGTCCCATAAGAGTCTATGTTCTTATCATGTGCATTTTGCTTCAGAGAAGTCAGTGGTCAAGATGTTATGGTCTTAAACCTATTGTCTAGAATTTCATGTTTGCATAAACAGAAGATTATTCTCTTGTTCTTTTTTGTCCTACTGAACAATCAGAACAGGGACATAAAGATAATTCCTCACTCCACAGGGAAAACAGTATCCTAAATAAAAACTATTCATCAAAGATGCCTGAATTGCTGAGGAATGAACAGAGTTTTCTGGAAATGCTTACCTATGTTGCACAAAGACAAAAATAAACTTAGGTTTTAACAAATTGTGATGGGATGTCAATAAGTGACCAAATGACAAGTTGTAGATGTTATTGCATTTCACAATTTAATACTCTGCAAATGTTTCTTTTTTTTTTCCTTTGAATCTAAATGATACCTTTGGTGACGTTATGGGTAAATGGTGTGATTTCTTTGTCACAAAGCTGCTTGCAAAGCATTCATCCCTCTTCAGACAAAATATATGTAAAAGAAGCATCACTTCTGTTTCTCAAATAGCAGAAAAACAGACCGGACTCTTCAGGTTCAATCTAAGAAGCAGTAGTTTAACTTGTAAAGATAATATTCTTGCAGTGATTGATTTAGCAATGTCAAGGATAATATGGTTTTTATGGTCACAAAAAGGCTGTAATCTAATTTTGCAGAAATTCTTATCTCATTGGCACTGTGTTATCACTTTTAATCTTACTGTTTTTATTTGAATTCGCTTGGAAAAATTCAATGGGTTGCTTTACTGACAGCTCAACCCTCAGATTGGTCTTCTGCAATAAATTTTCTGGTGCCAACGTTATGTTTTAAATCATGTTATCATTACTCTCAACAGTCAATTAGGAGTTATTTTTGCAGACTATTACAGGCTGGAATTGCTGGGTATAATTTTCTCCCCACAGTAAGAACTATTTCTTTTAACAATAGGCATTGTAAACTTAATGAGAATGGCATGGCTGGTTCCATGGCAAATTTCAGTATGGGGTGATTTTCAAATATCTAGATACTTGAAATAGAAGACGTATATTTTTCTTACTCTCTTGCATATGCCACGTAGCCAAGCAGCCTCCAAATGATGAACTCATTTCCCCAAAAGGCTGCAACTTGCTCCATCTCTTTAATTTTGAGGTCTAAAATGTCTTCACAACAATGGAAATCAATAGAAGTTCCTCAGTCGGCTCTACTGTGAGAGTTGCCGGACTGTATTATAGACAAATAAATTATGCACACTCCTCTTTGAACATTTTGTTTAGTTTTATAAACATTTCCACTGGTAGAAGAATACATCCATGAACATCAACCCATGTCATTCTTGATTTCACTCCACCCACTTTTCAGACCAAACCTTATTGGCAGCAGTTAGAAAATGAGGTAAGGAAATCAGGTGTTATTTTCTGAGAATTCAAATGAATTTTAACTATCTGATTTTTCCAAGGGAAATAATTCATGTGTTATTGTTCCTTCTGCCCTTGACTGTTTAGGTAATGCACTACACAGACAGTTCTGGGAATCAACATGTGAACACTTGTGTGTAGGTTTCTGTGAAATAGTCCTTGGAAACTCATTGTGACCACCCTCCTCAACACATAGTTAAAGGAAATGGAAGGGAAGTTAGTCAGCCTGCTCCACCTCCAGGTAAGACACAGCATTATATTCGGACATAAACCATTGGTGAATTTAGCTGAAAGATCATGACCGTTCCAACTCTGGTAGAGCCATCACCTGATAGATGAATTCAGTTATTTGCAGAAAATATATCGAAAACACAGTCAGAAACAGCAAAGGTATCTGCCATTCTAAAAAGTGAATAGTATTCATGATTTTTATTATGATTTTTTGATCAACAATGGTAGCAGGAACAGCACAGGTGTGACTTATTTCTAATCGAATTGATTTTATTAACATCTCAATTAGGAACATGACAAGTGAAGAGGTATAGTCAGTTCAGGGAATATAGACAGAAAATTTAATCAATAATCTTAGATAGCCAGAGAATAATTCAAATATATTTTCAAGTTATATATTAAGTTCAAGGTATAATTATACGTCATCCACACAGGTAATTAAGCAATTGGCTGGAAAAAATTCCATAAAATAAGGATTATTAAAAATGGCACACGTATACCTTTATAAAAAAGAAAGAAAATACAGAAACATGGGCTTATTATATGGAGAATTGTAAGTGTTCCTTTTCCAAGTTAAGTGAAGTCCTGACTATAGGAATTTTTTTATCTATGAAAATGGAGGCATGAGTTCAACAGGCTTTTGTAGTTGAGGACAAGTAAATAAACCACCTTTATACTGCCTGAGGCTCACACAGCTTTATGACATGTACTTCTTTATGTCTATTTACACAGATGTAATTTTACAGTTATTTGCGCATTTTTACTGTACATCTAACACTTCAGCTAATTTATAAAGTTCCAGATGACAGAGAGTTTCCACTTTTGCTAAACATTGCATCTCAAGTATGTAGCTCAACCTCTTGAGTGAATGAATAAATGAATTAATTAATAGACCTATTGTTCATTATTTGAAAGAGTTTCCATAATCAGAGGATTTACTGACTCAAATGCTTGCATTTGCATTTAATGCCCTTTGTCAGTCATAATTCTTATTTTTACTTAATAATCTGGAACACTGTATTCTTCAATGTTTGGGGGACTTGATTAATGACAGATAGTGGCCCTGAGTCTGATATGTGGATGCACGATGAGGTTTTTTGACTTCAGCTTGAGCTGACATTGAACTTATGTTGACTTTACCAATATTCCTATCTGGGGGCCTGTTTAGTGACCAACCTGCTCCTGATGGTTTTCTATTTTCCATTACTATAAAGGCAATATGATGAATAATATCCACCTTTCAGAATGGCAGCTCTTACTCAAATCACATGCAGACATCCATAAATATCTCCCATGTATTTCCCATGGTGAATGCAAAATTAAGTATACAATGCTTCAATACTTTTCACTTTAAGTGAATCAATACTGAATTCTATCCACTATCCAGTTAATTTGTATGATCTAGTAAGAAGAAACACTTTTTCTACATTTAAAGTATGTACGTTAATAGAGCTGCATCTATATCTACATCTATATATTAAGCACTTGCTCATAACACAAAGATATTGCAAAGCATAATGGAAAATGTCTCAAAAACACACATGAGGAAAGTGTATTTTGATTTAGTTAGATATGAAAGTCATAGGGTAAAGAATTTTAATATTCTTTTTCTTTCTTGCCAAATTCAATTTCAGATTCAGATTAGCTAATAGTACCTACTATGCATCTGGCTCTAAGTGAAAGAATTTTACAAGTGTTACTTTGTTTCAAACTTGTGAATGTCAGAAAATGAGCAGAGTGACAGGATTTAAACAGAAATCTCTCAGTCCAGGTAAGAATATGCAATCTCTTTTTTCCTTGCCTTAAATGAGTTGATATTACTACCTACTTCATTTATAGTATTGAGGAGTTATGACATCACTCTCAATGGTGATTGTATTAAGCCATTCCTGCATTGCTATGAAGAATTTCTGAGATGGGGTAATTTATAAAGGAAAAAAGTGTAATTGGCTCACAGTTCTGCAGGCTGTACAGGAAGCATGATGCTGGCATCTGCTCAGCTTCTAGGGATGCTTCAGGAAACTTAACAATCATGACAGAAGGTGAAGGTAGAGCAGACATATCATATGACCAGAGCATGGGCAAGAGAGAGAGGGAGGTAGGTGCCACACACTTTTAAACAGCCAGATCTTGTGAGAACTCACTCACTATCATGAGAATCACACCAAAGTGATGGTGCTAAATCATTCATGAGAAATTCACCACCATGAATCAGTCACCTCCTACCAGGCTCCACCTCCAATATTAGGCATTACAATTCAACATGAGATTTGGGTAGGGACACATGTCCCAACTATATTAGTGATAAACTGAAAGCTTTTTCTCAAAGATCTGGAACAAGGCAAGAATGCCCACTCTCACCACTTCTATTCAGTGTAGTACTGGAAGTCCTAGCCAGAGCAATTAGGCAAGACAAATTAAATATATATATACACGAATCAGAAAGAAAGCAGTAAATTTGTCCCTGTCTGTAAATGATATGATATTATGTAGAAACTTTAGAAACTCCATTATTAAAAAACCTGTTAGAACTGTAGACAAATTCTGTAAAGCTGCAGGATACAAAATCAACATACAAAATCAGTTGTAAATTTTATATGCTAATATTAAACTATCTGGAAAGGAAATTAGAAAGACAATTCTATTTACAATAGGACTAAAATAAATAATGTACTTAGAAATAAACTTAACTGAGGAGGTAAAAGACATAAACTGGAAACTACAAAACACTGATGCAAAATATTAAACAAGACAAATGGAAAGGTGTCTCTTGTTCATGAACTGAAAGACAATATTGGTAGTTATATACTACCCAAAAGAATCTACAGATTCAGTGCCATTCGTATTAAAATTCCAATGGTATTTTCACAGAAAGTAAAAAAGAACAATAAAACTTCTATGGAATCACACAGAAACCCAAATAACCAAATTATTTATTTGTTTATTTATTTATTTATTTATTATACTTTAAGTTCTAGGGTACATGTGCACCATGTGCAGGTTTGTTACATATGTATACATGTGCCATGTTGGTGTGCTGCACCCATTAACTCGTCATTTACATTAGGTATACCTTCTAATGCTATCCCCCCCCATCCCTTCACCCCATAACAGGCACCAGTGTGTGATGTTCCCCTTCCTGTGTCCATGTGTTCTCATTGTTCAATTCCCACCTATGAGTGAGAACACGTGGTGTTTGGTTTTTTGTCCTTGTGATAGTTTGCTGAGAATGATGGTTTCCAGCTTCATCCATGTCCCTACAAAGGACATGAACTCATCATTTTTTAGGGCTGCATAGTATTCCATGGTGTGTATGTGCCACATTTTCTTAATCCAGTCTATCATTGTTGGACATTTGAGTTGGTTCCAAGTCTTTGCTATTGTGAATAGTGCCACAATGAATATACGTGTGCATGTGTCTTTATAGCAGCATGATTTATAATCCTTTGGGTATGTACCCAGTAATGGGATGGCTGGGTCAAATGGTATTTCTAGTTCTATATCCCTGAGGAATTGCCACACTGACTTTCACAATGGTTGAACTAGTTTACAGTCCCACCAACAGTGTAAAAGTGTTCCTATTTCTCCACATCCTCTCCAGCACCTGATGTTTCCTGACTTTTTAATGATTGCCATTCTAACTGGTGTGAGATGGTGTCTCATTGTGGTTTTGATTTGTATTTCTCTGATGGCCAGTGATGATGAGCATTTTTTCATGTGTTTTTTGGCTGCATAAATGTCTTCTTTTGAGAAGTGTCTGTTCATATCCTTTCTCACTTTCTGATGGCATTGTTTGTTTTTTTCTTGTAAATTTGTTTGAGTTCTTTGTAGATTCTGGATATTAGCCCTTTGTCAGATGAGTAGATTGCAAAAATTTTCTCCCATTCTGTAGGCTGCCTGTTCACTCTGATGGTAGTTTCTTTTGCTGTGCAGAAGCTGTTGAGTTTAATTATATCCCATTTGTCAATTTTGGCTTTTGTTGCCACTGTTTTTGGTGTTTTAGACATGAAGTCTTTGCCCATGCCTATGTCCTGAATGGTATTGCCTAGGTTTTCTTCTAGGGTTTTTATGGCTTTAGGTATAACATTTAAGTCTTTAATCCATCTTGAATTAATTTTTGTATAAGGTGTAAGGAAGGGATCCAGTTTCAGCTTTCTACATATGACTAGCCAGTTTTCCCAGCACCATTTATTAAATAGGGAATCATTTCCCCATTTCTTGTTTTTGTCAGGTTTGTCAAAGATCAGATGGTTGTAGATGTGTGGTATTATTTCTGAGGGCTCTGTTCTGTTCCATTGGTCTATATCTCTGTTTTGGTACCAGTACCATGCTGTTTTGGTTACTGTAGCCTTGTAGTATAGTCTGAAGTCAGGTAGCATGATGCCTCCAGCTTTGTTCTTTTGGCTTGGGATTGACTTGGCAATGCAGGCTCTTTTTTGGTTCCATATGAACTTTAAAGTAGTTTTTTCCAATTCTGTGAAGAAAGTCATTGGTAGCTTAATGGGGATGGCATTGAATCTATAAATTACCTTGGGCAGTATGGCCATTTTCACGATATTGATTCTTCCTATCCATCTTGAGAAAAAACAAAGCTAGAGATCACCCTTCCTGATTTCAAAATATATTACAAAGCTGTAGTATTTAAGACAGTATTGTAATGGTATAAAACAGACATATAGATGAATGGAACCAAAGAGAGAGCCCAAAAATAAATGCATGTATGTATAGTCAACTGACCTTAGATAAGGGTGTCACAAATACACAATAGGGAAAGAATGGTATCTTCAATAAATGGTTTTGGAAAAATTGGATATACATACACAAAAGAATGAAATTGAACTACTAGGCTGTACACAAAAATCAACTCAAAATGGATTAAATGTTTACATATAAAACCTAAAATTGTAAAACTCCTAGAAGAAAACACAGGAGAAAAGGTTTATGGCATTGGCCTAGGCAATCATTTTTATTGATCTGACACCAAAAGCATAATAAAAAAAAAGCAAAAATAATCATTGTGATGACATCAAACAAAAAAGCTTCTGCAAAGCTAATGAAACATTTGAGAGTGAAAAGATAACCTATGGAGTGTGAGAAAATATTTTCAAAACATATATTTGTCAAGGGGATAATTTTCAAATACGTAAGATACTCCTACCACTCAACAGCAAAATAACGAATAATCTGAATTTTTAAAACGAGCTCATAATTTGAATACACAATTCTTCTCTAAAGAACACAGCCTAATTGGCAACAGGTATCAAAAAGATGCTCAATGTAACAAATCATGAGGAAAATGAAAATCGAAACCACAATGATATCAACTCACAACTGTTAGGATAGCAAAGATAAAAGAGAACAAGCATTGGCAAGGATGTGGAGAAATTGCAACCCTTTTCCATTAGTAGGAATGCAAAATAGTGTAACCTCTATGGAAAACAGTATGGAGGTTCCTAAAACAATTAAAAATTGAGTTACCGTATGATCCCACAATCCTACTTCTGAGTATTTACCCAAACAAATTAAAATCAAGATCTCCAATAGTTATTAGCCCTCTTGTATTCATTGCATCACTATTCACAATAACAAAGATGTGGAAACAACTTAAATTTTCATAGAAAGATGAATGAATAAAGAATTGTGTTATATACATGTAATGGGATATTATTCAGACTTTAAAAAGAAGGAAATTCTGCAATATGTGGCAACTTGAATAAACTTTGAGGACAATTATGCTAAGTGAAATAAGTCAGTTACAGAAGGAAAAATACTGCATGGTTCCACTTAAAAGAGTTATCTGAAATAGTCAGATTTATAGGATAAAAGAGTGGAATGATGGCTGCCAGGGCCTGGAGAGAAGTGGCTGCCGGAGCCTGGAATGAAGAGTTACTAATCAAGGGCATACGTTTTCAGTTAAGAAAGATGAATAACTTATAAAGGTCTGCTGTACAAAATTGTGCCTATTACTAACAACAATGTACTACACACTTAAAATTTTGTTAAAGGGTAGGTCTCATGCTTAACTTTCTTACCACAATAAAATATAATTTTAAAATAAATAAATGCCTGCAAAGCACTTAGAACAGTGTGTAGCGCATACTCAGTGGTAAGTATAAGCTATTATTTATTTTTATTGTCCTGCGTCTATGAGTACATGCACCTAACGTGCTGATAAATGATCTGTGCTTTATTTTGTTTTTATTGTAAATAGACAGCTGAATGTTATTTGCTAGTAATCCACTCAGTGTGTTCATAATGGCTTCTAAAAGTAAGAATGCCTCATAAAAGTTAGAATTCCCTGAGGACTAGTCAGTAATTTTCTGAGAAGTTTGACTCATGTAATTCTTTGAAAGTTTTACACCTCCTAATGTGCACACCTACAAGTAGATTTTGAGAATTTCATAACTTGAAAAAAAATTCATCTCTGACGTAACCCCAGTTTTGCCTTGAACTGGTGGAGGAATTTATGCCAGTTTTACTTTATGTTGCAAATCACTATTAGTTTAATTTCCTCATTAGCAATTTAGTTTACTGTGTGCTGTTTCAATTGTCCTTAGAGGGAGAGTAATGTATATTTTTAAAACATTCTTATTATTGAACTTTAATATTAGTATAAACTGCAGCTTAAATATGTTTAAATATAATAGTACCTATACCCATTTCTGTAACAGATGTCAATAATTAGTCCAAATGTGCTTATACACTAGTTTTTGATTGGTAAGAGACTCCATCTGAAATTTTACCACTTAAATAACTTGTGTTACACAATTGATAAAGGTAATTGTTCATTTGAAAGTTTGAATTACTTTGTTTTGTAGTTATGTATATGTAAAGTATCTGAGGAAACAAATAATGAGCAACGTATGGACATTTCTCTCCAATTCTGTGGTATAATTGAATACTTCCAAATGAGAATGAGATAAATATGCAGGTCTAGAGGTTTTTTGGCCCTACTGAGTGCACTATGATCAAAAAGTTTGCAAGCCACTGCTCTATTCCTTACTGAGTCCCTAATGGCAGATACTGTGCATGACACTTTAGTGTACATATCCTGAAAATGCCTGGCCCATATCTTCTGCTCAGCACAGGGCTTCCTAAATAAACCCTCTCAGTTTATTATTTTCCATGTAGTGCTCCACTAAGAATTTACAAAATATAAGGAGACTGTGTACCTCAGACTTATTATAAGCTTATTCATTTTCTTTTAATTTTATGGAGTATTTCAATCTCTTTTCTGAACCTAAATCCTACTTGGACCAGATTTGACATTATGTTTTCATTTGAGCTTTGGAACTTTAATCTTATTACTTCCTGTTTTCCTAAAACTGGAGTGAATAAGCTACTTACAAGAGCATAAGCCGAATCTGTTCAAAGCCGTTTAGCTGTATTTACTCTGCTCTGTGGTTGATCCTGCTTCCCTAGTTCCTCATCTTGTAAAAATTTCAGGGAAATTACAAAATGGATAAACATAGCCGAGATTGGGATGTGACTTTGCTGGGACATACTTCTCATTGCCAATCAACTTGATTTGTCTTCCCTAAATATCAACATCAGGCATACACACAAACACGTACATACATACACACACACACACACACACACACAAGTACATGCACATACACACATACATGCACACACACATGTATATACACACACCCAAATTATCAGCATGGTGTTTGATATAGTTTGGATATTTCTCCCCCTGCAAACCTAATGCTAAAATGTAAGCTCCAATGTTGGAGGTAGAGCGTGGTAGGAGGTGCTTGGGTCACGGAGGTGGATCCCTCATGGTTTGGTACTGTCCTTGCAATAGTGAGTGAATACTCACAAGATCTGGTTGTTTAAGTGTGTGGCATATCCCTCCCGCTGCCTCTTCCTCCTGCTTTTGCCATATGATGTACCCCTTCCTGCTTCACTTTCCAGTATGGGTAAAAGCTCCCTGAGGCCTCCTCAGAAGCCAGGCAGATGCAGGCACCATGCTTGTACAGCCTGCTGCACTGTGAGCCAATTAAAATTCATTTCTTACAAATTATACAGCCTCAGGTATTTCTCTATAGTGTCATGGGATTCTTGGGTTGATGCTTTTCTGGCTGGAAACCTCTGTTGCCAGCGATGCCTTTGCTTGAGTTTTGCTCAGACTTGCTGGGCTCGTTCCACCCACTCGGTGTGGCAGGCAGCACTCGGCTTATCCTACCGGCCTAGATCCCATGCCTGCCAAGAGCGAGTGGAGCGGTGAGGGGCGTGTGAATGACTGAGCATGGCGTCCAGACACTGCGTACAGACAGGCACGCTGACTTCAGTAGGGCAAGCAGTTTCAGGTGCCGGCACAGGTGCCAGCTCCCTGCGAGGCTTCCTGTCAGCCTGTGGCTGGACCAAGCACACCACAAGCAGCTTCCATGGCTGGCACCAGGGAATGCAGTGACATTCAGAAGCTTAGAGATGCCAGGAACCAGAGTCCCAAAGAGGGTGTCATAGCCCTAGCTTAGGGAGCTCCTAGGTGTGGACTCCCCGAAGGGCTGCAGCTATTCTCTCTTTCTTTCTTCTGTCCTTCTGCAATGTGGTGAGCCAGGGGGATGTTTCAGCCCTGTTTGTGTTACAGATCTTTTAGCCCCACCATTTTGTGGGTCCTGGATTTTTGTCCTGTGTCTATGAAGAATGAGGTCCACAGACAAGTGGAAGGTGAGCAAGGCAAAAAGGAGCTTTATTGAGTGACAGAAGGGTTCAGAGGAGGCCTGCATTGGGTAGCTTCTCCCCACAAGCAGGTTGTCTTGTCTAGTGTTCAGCTCTAAGTAGAGACGAGACACGGGGGTAGGTAGTTGCTGTCCATACCTAGTCATTGTCTCCTCAAGTCTGGCTGAGTCCAGGGCTTTCATGGGCCTCAGAGGGGAGGAAGTGGGCACCAATTGGTCCATGGGAGGCCATAGGTGGTCCTGGAAAATGCACCACAAGTTCCCACTCCAGTCTGCAGGACTGGCAGCCGGGCCCCCAGGCTTCAAGCCTTCCCCAGCTTGAAGGTGGAGCTTCAGTGGTGACCCACCCTCTTCTACCCAGGAGCCTGTCTGCCTCCTGCTGCTATTCATGGCACCCAGGCTGTTCATGCTGCTAGGCAGCTGCAGGCCAGCACCAAGCTGCCCTCAGCACCACCTTGACCTTCCTCCCATGCTTGTTGGTGCTCAAAGTCTGGAGGGGGCTGAGGCAGCAGGGGGCTGGTGTGTCAGCGCTTCCCAAAACATGCACATACCTCACCGTGCTGCTACAACACCCAGGCTTGGCCCCAACCTCACTCTGAGATTGGAACAGATGCAGGAGCAGGAAGAGACCAGGCAGCGGGAACAGACACGTCTGAGCTTGCAGGGGTTAGGGGGGCCTTCCCAGGCCCCTGAGAGTGCAGAGATGCCTGGGTCCACAGGTGCAGTTTGGGTGGCTGCAGCTGCACTCAGGAGAGCGGGGCTACAGTCTCCTCCCAGCCCACAGGAGCACAGGGAGTCCTGGGTCCACAGCCACAACTGGGAGGCTGCAGCTGTGGCCAGGAGGGTGGGACTCCCACTTGTTTCTGGCTCCTGCTGGTTCCATGGAGTGTCCGGCCCAGCCACACCTCCCCTGCTGCAGCCAGTGTCTTGGCAGTGGCCATTTCAGGTGGCCCATTGCTGCCATCAATAGCAATGCATGAATGGCCTAACACAGTGTTCTAGTTTGAATTTTTACTTTTATTTTAGTTAATACTTTCAAAGATCTTGAGAGAAATGAAAAAATTTTACTCTATCTATCCATAGATGAGACACATTTGCTGAAAAGAGTTGAGCCACTTGTCCAAAAGCACATGCCTAGTAAGTAAGAGAGACTGGGTTCAAATTCAGATGTGATCAAGACCAAAGCTCATCTCTTCACACATTAAGCACCATACATCCTATTTTAACAGGCTCAAACATAACCTGAGTGCTCCAGTCATTCAAAAACACAAGCATCTGCTCCCAAAGAAAGCCTTTGGCTAGGTGCTGAGGGTGTTATCTTTGGCTAGGCAAGCAGGTTGAGGGTAAAAGTTCTGGTATTTATGTAGTCCCAGAGGGCAATGAGAGAGGATGTGCCCCGGAAGTGTTGTAGTGTCAGAAACAGTCAGGTTAAAGGTATATGCATTCTCTGTGTGCTTTTTCTACTGCCCAATCCACAGCTAACAAATTTCTTTATTACAAAGGCATGAAAGCCAATGGATTGCTCTTTATTCCTAAAGAAACCACACTAATGTAATTTCTTTGTTTTTCAATTGCTCATTCAGTAAGCCATTGCTCATTAGACTCCTGGGAGTTTGCAAGCTTGGAACAATTGTTTCTCTGTTGATTGGGCCCTATTTGTCAAATTGCACATGGGCAAGTTTATTTGCTTATAACACAACCAAAATAATTAGCTGTTTATCTGGCAGGTTGATGATGATTACGTACAACAAATGACCATACATGAATACATTCACACTTTGTTGAAAGAAAAAGGACTGGGCCATTAGGCATGACTTTCATCATTGATTTTCCTCTGAGACTGAGAGTCTTAAACTAAGAATATATGTTATGATCACGAGAGATGTACCAGGTTTCTTGGGTTGTGTCTTGGCAGAATCAAACAAACTAGGACTCCATTTGTGCCTCTGCCATTTATAACCATGTGATTTGGGCCAAATTTCTGTAACTCTGTGAAACTCCATTTCCAAATGTGTAAAAAGGATGTGATAACATTTAAGTCATGTGTCGTTTTGATGATCAAATGAGTCAATATGTGCAAAATAACCAGCATATATTAGCTTTTCAATGTATATCAAGTAATCTCTATACTTCCATGTTTAAATTAATTATACTTGAAGAGGAGCACTCAATTCTGAGATTCATCTTGTTGAACCATAACATCTGAATAATATCTACCGTAAAAGGTTCCTAAGAAGATTAAATAGAATAACACGTTAGTAGTGTCTAACACATAGTAATCACTTGCTAATTGTTATTTAAACAGTCATATGTATTTGGGAAAAAATCAATAGATGGTTTATGCTGATGATGACATTGACAATAAAGTATTTTCTGAAATTATTTATTAACTTTTTCAACAGTCTGTTTCAGGAAACTTTAGGTCAAGTCTATGTTCTTTCCACTATTCCATATTAAGTTTTCCTACTAAAGTAACCCCAGAATAGCTGTCATGTTCTCTCTCATCTCCTCAAATCTATTTGAACTCTAATCCAAACTTCATCTCCTCCCTTCTCTTTAGGAGCCAATGCTGTAATTCTTTATCTGTGACTTGTGATTACAGTCAATTCTTGATATCCATAATTGCCTTGTTTTCTGCTCTACTGCAAATGCAGAAACATTTTCCATTCATTTCCTAACAAGATTTTTTTTTTAAAATTGAATACAGTGCTCAACAGCACAGTCTATTTCATTTTTATTCTTTACTAATTCCTCTAAAAGTCCTTATCCTGCTTTGACACAGAAGAAGGAGATGAGAATTCATGAAGTGCTTACTATGTGCCAGGGGCCCTCCCAGAATCTTTGCAAACACAAACCTGTGTGTGTCCTATTCCCAGAACAGGCCTGTGGGTTAAATGTCATCATTCCTTTTATGTATTCTACTTCTATGTCAAGTTCTCAGACTTTAAGTTCCATGCCCTTTTTCCTCTCTGAAAATGATTAACAGAGAACAATAATATAAACCCACTTAAGACATCTGACAATAACAGAATCGCACTTTGCATGCCAGGACAGGGGCAATTTTCTGTTCAACACAGAGAAGAGAAAACTTCCATCCAAACCAAATCAAACATTACCCTCCATCCCCCTACTCAACCTTTTCCTATAAGTGAGAGGAAGACACATTAGAACCTAGACACCAGCAAATACTAAATTGCAACAAGGTTTATGTCACATGAGGAGCCTGTGGATCTGACACTTTCTTTGCGGGCTTTCTAAGGTATGTGCTTGTCTATCCTTAGCCCTGACACCTTTCAACGGAATCTGAGTAAACTAGAAACACTATCATGATTTTAAATGTGGTTTAAAAAATCTAGAGTCCTGGATCTGAATTCTGACTTTCCAAGTGATCTTGGGTACGTTACTTTTTGCCCCAGTTTCCACATTTCAAAAATACGGAAAATTATATCCCTCTTACCTGGGGTGAGGAGTTAGTGAAAAAACTCCCTAAGGTACTCAGCACTGTGTCGTCATGTTGTAAGCATCTCTTCCTATCAGTAATAAATGAATATAGTTTTTATATGTGTCCCCACCCAAATCACATGTTGAATTATAATCTCTAGTATTGTTGGTGGGGCCTGGTGGGAGGTGACTGGCTCATGGGGGTGAATTTCTCATGAAGGGCTTAACGCTGTCCCCTTGATGCTGTCCTCATGATATCACTGTGAGTGAGTTCTCATGAAATCTGGTTATTTAAAGGTGTGTGGCACCTCTCTCTCTGTTGCTCCTGCTTTTGCAACATCACATGCCTGCTCCCCCTTTTCCTTCCACCATGATGGTAAGCTTTCCGAGACCTCTCTAGAAGCTGAATAGATGCCAGCACCATGCTTCCTGTAAAGCCTGCAGAACCATGAACCAATTAGAACTCTTTGCTTTATAAATCACCCAGTCTCTAGCATTTCCTTGTAGCTAAAGGTACAAAGCTATTTATAGCAATCCAAGAATGTCCTCGTACAATGGGTAAGCCCATTTTATTTTTCAAAAGTAAACTCTCCTGTGTCCTCTCCCCCTTGGATATGAACACCACTTATCACTCCCTTTCCTATCACCTCTCTTTCTCTTTCTTGTTAAAACGGACACAATGCAAAGGATGGCTCATAACTGGAAATTGTATTATTTCTAAATGTCAGTCAGTGATATTTTCTCAGGAGAAACTATCCTTGAAAATACCCTCCAAAAGAACATTATTTGAGGAGAAAAACAACTGATGAATGAATTCAGAGTTTTGAGATGATATTTCTGACGATTAGATTTGCCTTCCCTCTCTTTATATAATTTTGGGTGAGATTTTCAGACTAGCTAGGTTTTTCTGGACCTGTGGGCCTGAAATGGCTGTCTCCCTCATTACCTGTGAAATGTACTAATATGCATGCACTTTTAAATTTTTTTCTCTAGGAAGCGGTTTCCAGAGCTTTTATGGAATCATTATGCATTTATTGAATGCATTTCTACATCCTTGCCGGAGACAATTTTGGACCCAGAGTGTATTTTTATTTAATTCTGCAGAGAGTTATTAGCGACATGTACTGAGCACTCCTTAACAGTAGAGCTGTGAGGAAAGTCGTGTCCATCTTGAAGGCAGCATGTGTCCTTGAATATTGGCCTAGGACTCTAGTAAATTTGCACATCTGCTAACCTAGGAGTCACGTGAACTTGGAGTCTTCCTTTTCTCTAGCAGGGTTGATTATCTCCACCTTTACATATGCACTGACTCTTGTTAATTTCTCCACTGTGAAACATAAACCAACCATTTGTTTACTTGTTTTCAATCTTTGAATTTCTGTACTGTTTCTTACCGTCTCTTCTTAACTATAGCGAACACAGTTTGAACATTTCTGTATGCCAGACACTTGCTAAATGTTTTTCATTCTGCATCTCATGTACTGAAATCTCATCCAAACTCAACCTCCACTGTAGAGGTGAAAAAACAGAGGTACAGTGACTTGGAGCACATTGCTCAGGGTTACAGGACTAGCTTGTGAACTCAAGTAACATGCTTCCTTACCAGTTGATCTTTATGGTCCCTTCAAGTTATATGACTCCTGGCTGTATGAAAGGTCTTCAGTAAATATGTATAAAATAAATGCACAAATTCAGAACTTCCCTGAATCTTGAGGGTCTCATTTATAAAATGGAGATAATAATCCCAACTGCTGTGGTCATTATGAGCATTAAATGAGTTCATGTCAGTGTAAAACATTAATAGAGGGCTAGGTATACCTTAAATGGTGAGCAAATGTTAGTTCAATCTTATCAACAAGGCACATTTTCCTTTAGGAAAAATGTGAATGGCTCATGTAGCCCCCAGTCTCTCTTTTTAGGTTATGACTGCAACCCACAAAACAGTGGGGCATGAAGGGGACTTGGCATTGTGGAATGCATGGGTCAGTGGAATGCACCCTGGGGAGTGGGAGGTGGTCCCAGGGGTTATTGGCAGGGCCTATGTTGGAGGCCTGTACCGAGTAATAATGCTCATCTTGGGGCACTCATTCAATTGTGATAACTCACCCAGCTTAAACCAATTTATGGGATTGGTGATACAGTGGTAGAGAAAGTGTCATTGAAGGCACAGATATTATGCAGTGCCTGGTGTGTGCTGGAATCACTCATGTTCATAATTAAGCTGATATGAGGATTAATATCACATGTTACAGATGAGAAAAGTGTGACTCATGGGAGGTCAGTGGCTCACCCAGGAGCATAGAGCCTGTAAATGGCAAGACAGAGTTTCAACACAGGTCTGCCTGGTGGGAACACCTGTTTCAAGTGAGCTCAGTCCCCACCGCTGATCTTCCCTTTGGAAAGGGCAGGTCATATCGAAGCCAAAGGAAAAGTCAGCATGTTTGATGATAGTTTTACTTTTGTTTAGCTCACTTCCCAATTTCTCACTGGGAAAGTAGTGTTTTCCATTAGAAGGCTTGGGAATCAGTCTGGGGAAACTCCTGAAAACAGAAAGCACTGCAATACATCATGGAGGAGTGTGTGAGAAGAAGAATTTATTGCCTTACTTTTTGATTGATATTTATGGTACCCCTACTCCTTCCATGTCAGGCACTGGGAAAGACTAAGCTGAGGAAGGTGATCAGGGATCCCTGTCCTCCAGGACTCAAGGTCTTGCTATACAAACAGATAGACAACTTCAGAGCCATATAAAGAATGCTGCAAGAGAGTCACACACATAGCTTGATAAGAGTGAAGAAAATAACTAACACAGCTTTGAATTCAGAGAAACCTGGGTTTTAATCATGACTTGTGGTTTTCACTAAAAGTATGAACTCTGGCAAAATTCTTAACTTCTCTGAGCCTCAATTTCTTCTTTTGTAGATTAAAAATAAATTTACCTCTTAGTGGCCTCATATCATGAGGCTCCCATAATCCTGAAAGTAGCTAACAGAATAAATGCCAAGATTTTCCTTATCTTTTTTTTAACCAACATAAATGAAGATAGAATATATAAAAATTGTAACTGAGCATGATTTATGAACTAGCATATTTTACTTTTCAAATAGGTATCTTGAATTAGATATTGTTGCTCTATTTGAGGCATATGGAAACCAAGTCATGGAGAAGTTAAATAACAGCTAAAAGTGGCCGAGTTGGGGTTTGCATTCAGGATGTCTCACTCTGTAGTCAGGTGCAAGCACATAATCCCAGGGTTGTACTCCTGCTGTTGGATTAAGCGAAGAGTTTGGGACCAATGAGTTTCAAGTGGAGAGAGGGCAGGGAATGGTGGTTCAGGCTATAGTGCCTGTGTTGCTAGTGTGTGTCTAAGAAAGGCTAAAATGGTTAAGGTAATTGGTGGTGCTTGTCCAGATGTATGGTATAGAGATTGTTGCAAGCAGAAGATGGGAAGAGACTACTCTAAGCTGGCTGTTTTGGCAGATAATTACAATGATCAGAGCCAATGGAGACCTTCGGCAACTCAAACTTCTGATGCCAGAAACTCACTCCCTGGAGGGTCCCATGGGAAGCTCACAGCTCCACCCTACTCCTCCTCAGGGCATCCCACTTTCACTGTCAGTAAATCCATGAGAAATCGAAGATGGGTTTCTTTCCTCTTGACAGCACAAATATATAGTGAACATTGGGAAACCTAAGTCCTGAATGAGGAGAAAGTGTTTCCTAGTATATCGAATGTGGATCTTCCCAATTTGCCATCTGTTTGGAAAACAAAACATAAATACCAGACACATTTCTGTGGGTCTTCCACTTTCTTCAATATATAAATCCTCCCAGTATCCAAGTCCAAAGAGTTAAATGTTAAGGACTCATGAAAATAGAAAGAGGAGGCAGGAGAAATTGTGCTGTTGGGAATCCGACGACTGCTTGGAATTGGTTTTAAAACAATTAAGGGTGATGCCTTCAATTTACATCTGGGAAGACACTGTAAGGATGAGAAAGAAAATGCAACTGATTCAGTTTCCATCCATTTGTTGGGCCACTTCTCTGTGCCAGATGTGATAATAGGCCCTGAGGACACAGAGATAATTTAAGGCAAGCTTTGGATTCCTCAGGCACTCTTTGATGAATTCATCTGATGTTGTATTTACACACATAAAAATATGATTTCATAATTACTATCTTACGTGTACCTTAAGGTGCACTGAGAGCAAAAAGTGAGTCGTCAAACCAAACCAGAGACTGGATGGCTCCCCAAAAAAGGTGACATTATCTTAGAGGAATTTTGAAAATTTTCAAATAAAGTACAAAATTGGGAAGGGTATTAACAGGAAGAGGGAAGAGAATAAATAAGGACCCTATCGAATGAAGTAGTCTTTTGTGTTCAGGGACCTATAGGTAGTTCATTATGACTCGAGTGGCTTGTATAAGATCTAGAATTTCTGTTCCCTAAAGAAATATAAGGAAATTCTCCAACTTCATTAATGTGTGAAAAAAAGAGATAACATGAGAAGAGGAATTTTTTTATATACAGAAAGCTCTTAAAAGTGAGGAAGAAAACACATGCATTTAAAGCAGGCAATGCTTCAAGAGTACCTACAGACACATACAGGATAAATTTAGGGGGCACTGGATGATTGAGTCTTAATTTTAACATACTTCTTTAAATACATATTAGAACAACATAAAGCAGCACAAACCCTGTTATTTTATAAATGTCTTCAGAACAAGGCTAAAATCATTAAAGTAAGAATAAGAGTTGATGGAAATAAAATTATGAAAGCTATTAGGTAGGCAATCCAAATTGTGTTTCTCTAAAGTATAATTCATTGTGTTGAAGGAGGCAATGCAATCAGTGTTGGTTAGATACAAAATGAGTTGTTATTAAGTGTACAGTTCAAAGAGAGCTTGGGGAGTAATAACAATCAAACACACAAACAAGAAAGGATTTCCAGGAGTAGTAGGAGGAAAAGCAACAGCAAGACAAGAGGAAGGGAGGGTGGAGAAAGCAAGAAGAAAGAGAAGATGAGAACGTATTAGTATTTGCATACTTGCCACCATAAGCAAAAGATGAGACTAAAGCTCAACATGGTTGGTGTTTATCCATGAGGCACTGAATTTTCAACAAAAACTAACCCCAGCTGGTTGCCCTGGCAACAACCACCCTCCCTCATTATGTTAATGATATGATGATAAGAAAGCCAGATATAACTGAAGGAAACTACAACAGAAGGGAAGCCATTCGAGGTCTGGCTTGTTCCACTTTGAGGGAGGGTTGGTTTGAAGAGGGGTTTTGAATGTAATTGGGTAGCAATATGTGAAATCTTGATGGAAAAAATAAAAGTTGTGCATAAATTTTTATTTTATTTCTTTTTTGAGACAGGGTCCTCTTCTGTTGCCTAGGCTAGAGTGCATTGGGGAGGTGATGGCTCCCTGGATCCTCAGTCTCCCAGGCTTGAGTCACTCTCTCACCTCAGCATCTCGAGTAGCTGGGATTACAGGTTGTGCCAACATGCCTGGCTAACTAAGAAAACCTTTTTTTTGTAGAGATGAGGTCTCAAAATCCTGGGCTAAAATGATCCTCCTGCCTCAGCCGCACAAAGTGATGTGAGTACTGGCATGAGCCACCACACCCAGTCCATACATTTGCTTAATAGAGCCTGTGTGTTTGAGTATTTGGGGTACTACTGGCTATAGAGAAGTTTTGATTAATATTTGTTGTTATTGAAAATGATATTAATTAACAGGGGCACATATTTACTGTGAAAAAAAATAGAACTGCTGTCAAGTCTTGTTAATGGGAAATAAACTCTGGAAATAAAATTTGCCTGCTGATCCTGACTAGAGATTTCCTCATTCCTGGATAGGGAGCCCCTCACTCTCTCCTCTCCAGAAAATGAGTCTGCCTGATGGGACCTTAGGGTTGGGGAAGGGAGGGTCTGGTTATTTCAGGCTCTTTATTTTCCCCACCTCCAGAAGAAATCAGCCAAATGAAACTGAACTACAGGGAAAGACTCATAAATTTTCTAATTTTTTTGTGGATGGAGATACGGGTGCATATTGAAGTGGGTGAGTTTCCAATGCTTTTCAAAATCTCTTCTCAAACGTGCATTTAAATTTCATCTCCTCCTCTTCCTCCTCCTTTTTCTTCTTCTTTCTTTTCACTTCCTTCTCCTCCTCCTTCTCCCCCTCCTCCTCTTCCACTTCATCTTCCTCCTTCACTTCCTCTTCCTTCTCCTTGTCTTTCTCCCTCTCTGTCACCCTCTCCCTCTCCTTCTTCTTCCTTCTCTTGCCAGGTAGGGCATGTTTTATTGTCCTCACATTCATGGTAAAGTAACTGAAGTTTAGCAAGCTTATGTGACTTGTCCAAGGCCACAATGCTAGTAACTATCACAGCCAGCTATACTGACTCCCGATGTGATGTTCTCTCTACTGCACTTTCTCCTGGCATTTCCAGATGTTGGGAGAAATCTAGATGCTAAGAAATTAAATGGGATAGATTTTATCCTGCAAGTTATCCTGCCATAGCCTCATGAATGCTAGCAAAAGACATGCATCTCCTGGTTCAGAGACAAAAGACTATTACAGCAATAGCCCTAGATAGAGTAACATTTTTATTTCCAGTTCCCATATCCTCAGTCCCCTCAGGATGACTCCTGAACATGCAATAACCTGCATTATAGGAGGTTAACACTAAGTATAGGGAACCTAAGACTTTTATAATTGGCATTGTGCATGCCTGCTTTTTACGCTGAAGGTAGACATTATCATTATTATACTGGACAGTAAGAAACCTGAACTTCTTTTCAGAGTGATGTTTGCTATACAAACATTCTCTTTTTTTTTCTTTTTATAAAATAGATTTACAGGGTACAGGTGCAGTTACGTTACATGGATACATTGTGTAGTGGTGAAATCTGGGCTTTCCATGTACCACCACTCAAATAGTGTATATTGTACCCAATAGGTGGTAATTCATCTCTCACCTCTCTCCTACCCTCCCACCTATTGAACTCTCCAATGTTTATTATTCTACTCTGTGTGTCCATGTGTAGCCATTGTTTAGCTCTCACTTATAAGTGAGAACATGCAATTTTTTACTTTCTTTTTCTGAGGCATTTCACTTAGGTTAGTGGCCTCCAGTTCCATTTATGTTTCTGCAAAAGATATGATTTCATTCTTTTTTGCGACTGAGTGACATTCTATGGTCTCTCTCTCTCTCTCTCTCTCTCTCTCTATATATATATATATATCACATTTTAATACAATCATACATTGTTCATCTACTTCTTTACATGGACTATTTAAACAAATACTGGAGAAAACATAACTCTTGTATACTGTCGATGGGAATGTAAGTTAGTACAACCATTATGGAAAATTATTATGCAAGTTCCTTAATAAACTAAAAATAGGGCTGAGCATGGTGGCTCATGCCAGTGATCCCAGCAGCACTGGGAGGCCAGGGTGGGAGGATTGCTTGAGCCCAGGAGCTCAAGACCAGTTTGGGCAAGATAGCAAGACACTATCTCTACAAAAATACAAAAATTAGCCAGGTGTATTGACTTGCACCTGTGGTCTCAGCTAGTCAGGAGGCTGAGGTGGGAGGATCACCTGGGCCCAGGAGTCTGAGGTCTGAGGCTGCAGTGAGCTAGGATAGTGCCACCACACTCCAGCCTGGGCAACAGAGCAAGATCTTTTTTTCTAAAAATAAACATAAAAAAGAAAACCAAAATACTAAAAATATCACTACTACATGATACAGAAATTCCACTTCTTTGTATATATCCAAAGGACCTAAAATCAGTAGGTCGAAGGGACATCTGCACTCCAATGTTGACTGTGGCATTATCCACAATAGCCAAGATATGAAATCAAGCCAAGTATCCAAAAGTGGATGACTAGATAAAGAAAATGTGGCATATATACACAGTGAAATACTATCCAGCCTTAAAGAAATGAAAATTCTGTCATTTGCAACAACATCAATGGATTTCGACAACCTATGCTTTAAAGTCATAATATCTATTCCAATTTTGTGTTGATAACCCCGTCTCCTACCATTTTGAAGAATAGCAAAACCCACTCTTCATAAATCTAGAACACAACTCTGGCATTAGGAATATTTCAGTAGGCCAGGCAAAGGTGGCTCATGCCTGTAATCCCAGCACTTCGGGAGGCCGAGGTGAGGAGGTCAGGAGTTTGAGACCAGCCTGGCCAAATGGTGAAACCATAGAGATGGTGAAACCTCATCTCTACTAAAAATACACACACAAAAAAATTTCCAGGCAAGGTGGGGCACTTGTATAATACCAGCTACTCAGGAGACTAAGGCAGGAGAATCCCTTCAACCCGGGAGGTGGAGGTTGCAGTGAGCCAAGATCACAGCATTGCACTCCAGCCTGGGGGTGACAGAGCAAGACTCTGTCTAAAATAATAATAATAAAAATAATAATAATAATTCAGGAAGTGAGCATTTAATAATTTAATAAACTAACTTCTTACAAAACATTAAGAATCTGCTATGTTTCAGCCCTATTGGTAGGCAACAGGAAAACTCAGTAAATACTTGACGTGAGTTAATGAACTATAAGGACTTCTTAAGCATATAATAAAAAAGGATTTTAGCATCATTAGCATACATGTGCTAGTCGGAGGAATGGATACAATTATCTAGTGAGAGAAAATACAGGATGGTGTAAGGAGAGAAAATGAAGCAAAGCAAGAAAATAGAGCCTGGGAATACCATTTTAAAGAGTAGTATCTCGAAAAAGTATATCATAGTGGTAAGAAATTTAAGATAATGAAAGGCAGGGAAGAGATTGAATGGAGAGGGAATGGTCAACCATGCCAAGTACTGGATTTTGTCTTTTTGATATGAATGTGAGCTCCTCACAGGCTTGCAAGCTCCAGATCAGGACCAACCACGCACTGCTTGCTAGCACCCCCTTCTTACATGTGATCAGCACTCAGTAAATGTGTATTGATTTATATTACATACCTTGTATAATATCTAGAGCTGTGCCTGACATATAACAGATGCTTTTCATTGTTCATGAAATGAAAATGTAGTCAATACTTTTAAGAACTGAAAATTGTCTACTGGCAATTACATATTAATCAGCTGCTTGAGAAAGCTCAATTCTGAATACGGGTGTAGTTTCCCTTCTTGTTGTTTGCTTGCCTCTTTGAGAAGCTGAGCACCTCCATTTAGTAAGAAAACCCTGGGAAATACACATGGGAGGATAATCCTGGAAAGTACTTATTTTACGGCAGCCTTTTTCAGAAATGTGTTCCTTAGAACTACTGCTACATGAGATACTAAACAACAAACAAACAAAAACAAAATCAAACAACAACAGCCAAAAAACATAGTCAATAATGTTTGGGAAACTGTAGCCCCTGGGGTAGTAACAGAGTAAATGTAGACATCATCCTTACCTGCATGGTGCTTAGAATCTAGCAGGCGAGACAAATTCGTCTGTTAATTTCACAAATGAACTATTAAATTTAACTGTGAGGCTAGATGTGGACTAGCAATTCTGTAATGACTTTAAGGTTTTCATGTGCACTTGAGCCCTCTGAAGGCCCCGAGCATCCCTAGGTTGCAGGTATTTCTTATGTATATCCATCATGAAGAAAGAACTCAGCTCTGATTGCATTTTCAGACAACCGGGGAGCTGGCTAATGTGCCTGCATGTGAGCCATTCTCAGAATAAAGAAGTCTGAATCGCTGAGAGGAGCCCAGGTATGATTCTCATATGCAGCCAGAGTTAAGAACACTCTTCTTAATGTTTACCGAATTTGACACTGGAATTACCCCTCTGTTAAATTCACAAAGAAGTAACAATACGGGCAGCTCTGTTCTCAGTGCTGGCTCTTCACATGTCCCTGTTCTGTGTGCTCAGTGTCCAGCATCCTTCAGTACATCTTGTCAACTGTGTCTCCGTGGTGGAAACTCAGTAAATATTTGCTGAGTAAAAAATTATACTTTTTTTCATTCCTAATGGAAAAAGTATTCATTATCATAATTTTTTGAAATTTTGGTCTATATCATAATGTACGACAAAATGTACAGTTAAAAAAAAAAGTTATGCCTTACAGATTATTTGGGCACAGTCCAAACAATGGTATAGAAACTATAGAATAGCATCAATATTAGGACTCATTTAAAAAAATATGAAACTGAAATGGGACTTATTATCATGTGCTATTTAATGTGGTTATATTTTCAGTTGTCATTAAATTAATGGTGTAGCTTAAAATCAAAGGAATATCAGGTTTTATTAAAATGTCACTAGAATCAGTAAATGTCTATTATAGTGACTGACAACAAAATAAGGAAAATCAACTGCTTTTTTGTAAAGAGCAGTAATATGTTAGATGATAAAAACAAAAGGTCAATTTTCATTTTCAATCATGTAGAAAAAAATAATTGTATACTAAAAATAACAAAGTATTTGTGACCTATATTGGCAAATAAAGTGTATAAAAGAGGGCTTGCATAAAAGGGAAACAATCTTTGTTTCTGCATGAGCAAACCGAACAATATAAAGATGGCTTTCTCAGGTTAATTTTGAAATGTTATTGTCAATGTAGTTGATTAAACTGTATTCATTTACTTACTTATTCATAAAATATTTTTGAGCCACTAATAGGTATACTATTCTATGCTGAGTACTGACAATTTCATGGAAGAAAACCAGATGGATCCCCATATAGTTTAACATTTGTAATCTTAAATATAAAAGTTACAAAATAAATATATACAGTCTATTTTCAAATACGGATGCACTTAAATAATAGCTAAAAATATAAGAGACTTGTTTTCTTATAAGGATCAAGTATGTCTAGTAAATATTATTTTGATGAAATATCAAGCAGAAATTATTTGCAGAGAATAATAAATAGTAGAGATATGCTGTTCCCTTCAACATACACACAGAATATAGATCAAAGGAACACGATAGAAGTCCAAGGAGAATATCGATGACATATATGGAATTTAATATATGATGAATTAGGATTTCATAATGATCAGGACAAGGATGGTCATTTAACAAATGAAGTTGGAAATGCTTTCTCATAATTTAGGAGTAAAAATTAATTAATACCCACACCTTATAGCATATGCCAAAACAAACAATAAATGGATTAATGAAGTATCCACACACACAGAAAAGTATAAAATAGACTTAGATCATATGAAGTATGACAATGGCTAAGTTTTAAATGATTAGAGAAAATCAGAAAGAAATAGGTGAATTTAATGATGCACAAATTTTAAACACTCATGTGTGGAAAATTAAGATAAACATTTAAAAATACAAACCAAGAATAACAATGACACCAAATATAACTGACACAATTTGTAATAAAGGTTTTTCTTCTGTTGTTATTTTTGTTTTTGTTTTGAGACCTAGTCTCTCTCTGTCGCCCAGGCTGGAGTGCAGTGACCTGAACTTGGCTCACTGCAACCCCTCCTCTGGGTTCAAGTGATTCTCCTGCCTCAGCCTCTCAAGTAGTTGGGAATGCAGGTGCACGGCACAACTCCCGACTAATTTTTGTATTTTTAGTGGAGATGGGGTTTTGATTCTTCCTTTCTTATTCTGTACCCAGAAGACAGAGGGATCCTTTGTGTGTGTGTGTGTGTGTGTGTGTGTGTGTGTGTTTGTTTTTGACTTGGAGTTTCGCTCTGTCGCCCAGGGAGTGCAGTGGCAAGATCTCGGCTCACTGCAACCTCTGCCTCCCGGGTTCAAGCAATTCTCCTGCCTCAGCCTCCTGAGTAGCTGGGATTACAGGCATGTGTCACCACGCTTGGCTAATTTTTGTATTTTTAGTAGAGATGGGGTTTTACCATATTGGTCGGGCTGGTCTCAAACTCCTGACCTCAGGTGATCCACCCACCTCAGCCTCTCGAAGTGCTGGGATTACAGGCGTGAGCCACCGTGCCTGGCCCAGAGAGATCCTTATAAAACAGAAATTACACTAAGTTTTCCTCCTGTTTAGAAGTCTCCCTTGGCTTCTTGTTACATATGAAACAAAATCTACACTGTTAATTGCGGCCCGGGAGCTACAGCACCACGTGGCCTTTACTGGTCCTCAACTTCATTTTCTGTGGTTCTTTTCTCCCCTGCAATGTCCTGGCCACTCTGTTCTTTCCAGTCTCTTCCCAGCTTCCAGATCTCCTTTGCATATGCTGTTCCCTTTGCCAGGGATGGTGTACATTCTTTCCTGGACTTTAGGGAGGACTTCACAGGGATAGCTCTAACACCATACCTAAATCAAATCACCTACTGCCCACCTCTATCCCACTCTCATCCTTCACCATTTCTTTTCCTTTTTGTCATTCACACAATTTGTGATTATTTAGTTGCTCTTCCTTTCTTGGTCATCTCTTCCCTAAATTCTCAGTTTCATGAATGCAAAATCTATTCTGTTCTCCACTCTATGCTTAGAATCTTGCATAGCCATGTGCATAGTGAATTGGCATGTGATAACTATTTGGAGAATGGATAAATGAATGAATTATTAAATGTATGAATGAATGAAATACCTCTGCCTCCAGTACTGTCACCTTCCCACCCTGACTTTCGACGTAGGGTCATCTTTTGTACAGGACAATGCTATCTCTAAATTTAAGTGTGTCAATGGCTGCTTAATGCATTCAGATAAGGTGCAAAACTCTTCATGGGTATATTAGTTCCCTATGGCTGCCATAGCAAATTATATGGAAAGAATGAAAATATTTGTAAAGTATTTTAGGCAAGGAAGAAATAACAATTATACCCGTATTATGAATACAAATATGCAAAATATTCACAAATACAGAGAATAGCTCAAATGATAAAAAGATAAAAAACCACTCACAGGATAAAGTGAGAGAATTGTTGGGGGGTAATATTGTGAATTTTTTACCCATTTTCTTTCAGTTTTTTCCGAATATTCTTTGCAAAATAGAAGCAAACTGGGTCAAAACCCCATGATATGAGGAGCACACCAATCTGCATCTACTGAGCACATGCTACTTTAACAAAGAGCAAGATAACATTTTCCCTCAGAAAAAAGTGCTGATGTGAGTCACAGTGGGTTTGGCTTAAAATCAACTGTGAAGATTGCCCTGGGGGAATGTCTGCTCACCCCTCTCCCCCAAGTTTCTTCCCAAAATCCAACAGCAATAGTCTAACTCTCCCAAATATTTGCACTTTGCAATTTTATTGCTTTCTCTCTATAAACTCTGTTTCTATAATTTCTTAGTTCTGCAGAATTTAAAGTGTGTTTCTCCCTTTTAGCCGAAATCAGGTCAATTTTATTGGCCCTTAAAAATAGGTAGTTAGTTGGTTAGCAAGACTATGAAAAGGTATCAGATAACTCCAGGTTTATGGAAATAGCTTTAAATAGATTCCAAGTTTATGGAAGGACTGAATCTCAACCATGCTGACTGCAGCAGAAAGTGGAAATTAAGTCTTTCCTGAGGATGGTCGACAGTTTAATATAATTTTTAATGATGAAACATCTTTAAATTAGGAATGCAGCTATTTTGACCACAGAGGAAAATATATAATGCAAACCCCTGAAAGAATGAAGAATGAAAGTGAATTGAATAAGGAAAGATGAGAAGCAAAATAGCATCTCAACTTCTAAGATGATAAAAGTCTGTCCTCTGGGGACCCGTTTTTGAAAGTGTCCTCTACAATAACACCCTTTCCCAAACAGCAGTGGTGTTTGCAAATAAGTACCAATTACATGCCTTGATTACAGATTCAACCCAGGGTCTTATGTACCAGTGAGACTCAATACCCTTTTTATACCTCTATGCCCTTGCAGTGTTGGATAAAGGGCAGCTCCGCAGAATTGCAAGTAATTTTCTCTTGGGCAGGAAAACAGGAGAAACACATCTTTAAAGTCATAAATGTTACAGGAAGTGTCCAAGGGAGTGAGGTTTGCTGCTTTCTCTGCTTTCTCTTTCTTTTTCTCTTGCTTGGGCATGAGACAGCTCCTGACAATTAGAAGAGTGTGTGCGTGTGTGTGTGTGTGTGTGTGTGTGTGTGTGTGTGTGTGTGTGTGTGTATTTCTGTGTTTGGTTTTGTTTTTCCAGGTTCACCTAAATGCATTTATATCCAAATAGCATTCCATGCATATTATACGTAATACACAGTCAAGGACAGGGTTTACTTTTGTTATTCCAGATCATATCTGACCTTTCCAGAGAAAGCAGGTGAAAACATCCCTGCTTTAAAGAATAGGCAACAAAACCACAGAATTTAGAGTCTTTACTATTTGCCTGAAAGACAAACCGGAAGACCAATCTCCTGACTGGTAAGTTGGTATTCTTTCCATTAAACAGTGCTCAATATGTATAGAAATAACACTGGAGTCTTCTTTGAGTGCCAATTCTGGTGAAGCCGGTCTGGAGTGAGACCTGAGATTCTATATCTCTAATAAGCTCTGATGCTGCTGGTCCATGCATCACGCTTTGAGAAGCTAAGTATTAAATCACAGTAGCTAGCCAGAGCACATTACTTAATCATACTTTGGGCTGAACATGCTGAGGTGATCTAGTTTTTTCCAGGATAATTTTGTTTTCCTCTGGTGAGAGGGTCCCAATTAAGGTGAGGAGAAAACAAAGGAATGGTAGAAAGTTAAGGTTTCTGAAGTAGTTAATACATGCCAAGTGCTGTGACAGACATCCGTTCATCCATTACATCACTTAATTCTCACTAAAGTAATGTATTATTGTCTCCTTTATATCCACCAAGAAATATCCTTGGAGATAATACGGGGCTTCCCCAAGATAGCCAATCCAAGCAACAGAGCAGGGATCCAACCCAGTTTTTCTGACTTAGAATCCTACCTGCGGTATATATTACAACATAATAAAGAAATTGTCTTTGCCGGGCACAGTGGCTCATGGGTAATCCCAGCACTTTGGGATGTGGCATGCTGAGGCAGGCGGATCACCTGTGGTCAGGAGTTCAAGACCAGCCTGGTCAACATGGTGAAACCCCATCTCTACTAAAATACGAAAAGTAGCTTAGCTGGGTGTGGTGGCGCATGCCTATAATCCCAGCTACTTGGGAGTCTGAGGTAGAAGAATTGTTTGAACCCAGGAGATGGAGCCTGCAGTGAGCTGAGATTGTGCCACTGCACTCCAGCCTGGGCAACAGATTAAGACTCCATCTCAAAAAAAAAAAAAAAAAAAAAGAAAGAAAGAAAGCATCTTTAAAGTGATTAATACGCACCTTGATGATCTTCTTTATTTTTAATGGATTTTAATATTTCCAAGATGGAGTGTGTGCAATGCTTCTAGCAGCTGCATTACTGTTGACTGTGGATCCTCACACAGGAGTTCTCAGCTGGGAGGAGAATGTAGACACATTCCAATTCTAAGATGCAATTTTGGATGGATACCAAAATAACTTTTACTTTCATCCTTTTGGTATGGAAGATACAAATCTTTTAAAAGCTGGAGCCCAAAGAAATGTAAATATAGCTTATTCAGGTCTGACATTTCAAAAGAGGTCACCCCACCAGCAGTGTCATCCCTGGTCTATTATCAGGTTTTCTGTCACTCATGGTGATTAAGGGTGATAAACAGTGCAAAGCACTTGGAGTAGGCCAGAGGGCACAAAGAGAGATGTAGTTCACTTAAAAAGGACCACATTTCCTGAGAATAGAAAAGGCCATTCACTCTCTGTGTCTTTGCTTCCAAGGAAGAAATCATTGTTCTTTCAGAGACAAAGCAGTCATCTCCCAGAATTCTGCTAGAATGTCATCTGGGGGGGAACAGTTAGTTACCCAGGCTATGGAACCTACTGCGTGGAAGAGTCACTGCTGTGGGAATCATCTGGCTCCCACTGTGATCCCCATTCCATCCTCTCAGACTGCTTTTAGATTGGCTTTGAAGTTAGTACAGAAGGGGATTATTTCACATAACAGAATGCTCTCCAGGTTAATCCATGTTGTTGCAAATGACATTTCTTTCTTTTTTCAGTTTGAATAATATTCCATTGTGTGTATATACCACATTTTCTTTATCCATTTATCCATGAATGGGTACTTAGATTGATTTCACTTCATTTATGCATGGGCTTTTAAAAATTCAAACTCATAGAAGTAGAGAATAGAAGGGCGGTTACCAGGGGCTAAGGGTTGGAGAGATTGAAGAGATGCTGGTCAAAAAATACAAAATTTTAATGAGGAGAAATAAGTCCAAGGGAGCTATTGCATGATAGCTAGTAACAATGCACTCTACACTTGGAAAATTGCTAAGAAAGTAAACCTTAAGTATTCTCACTAAAAATAAATACATGAAATAATACATACGTTTATTAGCTTGATTGAGCCATTCCACAATACATGCATATTTCAAAATGTGTAGTACATTATAAATGTATATAATTGTTATTTGTCAACTTAAAAATAAGACAACTGGGGCTGCATGAGGTGGCTCATGCCTGTAATCTCAGCATTTTGGGAGGCTGAGGCAGGTGGATCCTTGAGCGCAGGAGTTCTAGAACAGCCTGGGCAATGTGGCAAAACTCCATCTATATAAAAAATAGAAAAATTAGCAAGTCATTGTGGCATGCACCTGTAGTCCTAGCTACTCAGGAGGCTGATTTGGGAGGATCGCTTGAGCTCAGGAGGTCGAGGCTACAGTGAGCCAAGATCTCACCACTGCACTCCTGCCTGGGTGACAGAGTGAGAACCTGTCTCAAAAAGAAAAAGAAAATTTAAAAAAAGACAGGTGCCGGGCGCAGTGGCTCACGCCTATAATTGCAGCACTTTGGGAGGCCAAAGGGGGCGGATTATCTGAGGTCAGGAGTTTGAGACCTGCCTGACCAACACAGAGAAACCCTATCTCTACTAAAAATACAAAACTAGCTGGGCATGGTGGTGCATGCCTGTAATCCCAGCTACTCAGGACGCTGAGGCAGAAGAATGGCTTGAATCCAGGTGGCGGATGTTCCCATGACCCAAGATCGCACCACTGCAATCCAGCCTGGGCAACAAGAGCGAAACTCCATCTCAAAACAAACAAACAAACAAACAAAAAACAAAAAAAAGAACGCATGCAAACTTTTGAGGGATACAAAACGTCCTTTTGTCAGAGCTGTCTTATTAGCTGTCTTATCTTCACTTCTATTCATGCTGAGTTGTATTTCCCAACACTGGAGATAGTCCCTTACTCTTGTCCTTGCCTAGAAGAACAGTGTTGTTGGCCGGGCACAGTGGCTCATGCCTATAATCCCAGCACTTTGGGAGGCAGAGGTGGGCGGATCACCTGAGGTCGGGAGTTTGAGACCAGCCTGACCAACATGGAGAAACACCGACTCTACCAAAAATACAAAATTAGCCGGGCGTGGTGGTGCACGCCTGTAATCCCAGCTACTCAGGAGGCTGAGGCAGGAGAATCACTTGAACCCAGGAGGCGGAGGTTGCAGTGAGCCAAGATCACGCCATTGCAGTCTAGCCTGGGCAATAAGAGTGAAACTCCATCTCAAAATAATAATAATAATAATAATAATAATAATAATAATAATAATAATAATAATGAACCACTGTTGTTGTAATTGTTTGGTTTTTAGGTCTGGCACTCTGCTGCTTCCTTGTCAACAGTGAAGCAAGAAAACCCATGCAAGCCCAAGATGCAATGGGTCAAGGGCTGGTTCTTTCTCCTTGTGATTTTGGTAATCTCTGTTTTCTTTCCTCTCTCCCCTTTTATACATACAGTATTTTCTCTTCAGTGTTTAGGTATAGACTTTGGATTCAACAATGTCTTCTGTCTTAGAAAAGCTCCCGAGGCATGGAAGTGCAATGGGAGTGAAATACAGGCAAGACAAATTTGTATCTCAATAATTTATAACTGTGATTAATTTTCTTGATTATTTCCCTCTCCAAGAAACACATTTTCAACATATGGTAAAGCTTTAGGGGAGCAAACAAGCCAAAATTCAAAGTCCAGATCTGTAACAGAATAGTCATGTGAATTTTGGTATGTTACTCAAAGCTCAGTTGCATCTACTGCAAAATAAGTATAATAATACCCCATCAGTTTGGCATGCAAATTATGCCAAAAGTTCTAAATGCTTCAGTGGCTCATAATTCCCAGTAACTTGTATTTATGTTGTCTAGGATGTATTTCACTGGAGGAATTATATACTCCAGATAAATAACACAATTTATATCTACAACATTCAGAGAATTTTGGAAGGAAGCTTTACACCAATTTCAAATAATCCTCAACCTATGAAACTCTAAAGTGAGATTACCCCTCAGATTTATACCCACCAATTCTAATAGTTTAAAGAGAAAAGAAAAAAAGAAAAGAAAGTTTCCAGTACGGATTTCATGACTAAATTAATTTCCTAAGCTGTTTCTGCAAAACATAGAGAAAATTCCAATTCCACTCCATCATACAAGATTTTGACATTATTTCTCATTTTTATATCATGATAAACAGAGGACATGATAGTATTTGTACAATACCCTGGATTAAATGGATGAGGCTGCTTGTAGCGGAAAGAAGTGGACTTGGGGGCCCAGTCAGCCTCATTTCCCATCTGTCAATCTCTAGGGATGACAGAACCAATCTTTTGGCCTACCTGTAACCTATCCAGAAATACCAGTGGTTGGAAGTTGGTACTCTCTGAACTAGGACACAGAAAACAGTATCATGCATGTATGGAATATGAAGCATGTTACTCTATTTGGAAATGGAGTTTAAATTAGAATAAATAGTAAATCAATTAATCAGTATATCTACTGATTTAGCCAATCATTCACTGCCTCCTAAACTTCTCACCCATTATATGAAAAGAAATAAGAACTTGTTTCTGCTCTATGGGCTTACAGTCTAGAATAGCCCTCTCCAATAGAAATATAATTCAAGCTTTAGATGAAAGTCATATATGTAATTTATAAACATAATGTAAAAAGTTATGTATAAATAATGTAGCCATATAAAAAGAAACAGATGAAATCAATTCTAACAATATATTTAAATTAACCTATTTATTATACCCCAAATGTTTAAGTAACCCAATATCACACAATGAATGAAAAAATAACCCACCATATTAGCCTCTCAACACATAATTAATATGAGTCACTGAGCTACTTTGCATTCTAGTTTTGTGCTAAGTCTTTGAAATTTGGTATTCACAGCTCAATTTGGACTAGCTGTAGTTTGGATGCTCAATGGCCTCATATGGGTAATAGCTACACAATTGAAGAGTTCAAGTCTGGAAAGATAAAGTTAGGCATGTAAACAAATAAAGGCAATAGAAAGGCAGACAGAGCTGAGTGAGAAAAAGCTCCAAAGTAATCAGGAGCAAAACATAGAGTTTTACCTCCTACAATGCTCAGGAGCAGGCCCACTTTCCTTATTCAATTGTGTAAGAAGATATTGTGTTAAAGCTTTCTTTTAACAGTTCTAGAAATTACGAAAAAAAAAATCACTGTAAACATGATAAACTGTTACCCACAAAGCTGGTCTCCCCAAGGATGGGGTCTCTCTGTTTGGTGTCAGAAAGCCAATATACAAAACTGAAAGTGAGTGTCAAGCAGTGCAGGCTTTACTCAATCACCATGGAACTGAGAAACAGGAGCATGACTCCTCCTGGACTAGTGAGGAGTGAATGGGTTAAAATATAGGGTTTTCTGATGAAGGTGTTGGACATTAAACATGAGAGGAAGAATGTCTATGTCTTTTTCCAGAAATGGGTGGTGATATTGTTTGGCTGTGTCCCCACCCAAATCTCATCTTGAATTGTAGCTCCCATAATTCCCACGTGTTGTGGGAGGGACCCAGTGGGAGATAATTGAATCATGGGAGCAGTTTTCCCCATGCTGTTCTCATGGTAGTGATTAAGTCTGTAATGGGTTTATAAAGGTAAAGCCCTTTTGTTTGGCTCTTTAACTCCATCTAGCTGCTGTCATGTAAGAAGTGCCTTTCGCCCTCGCCCTCCACCATGATTGTGAAGCCTTCTCAGCCACATGGAACTGTAAGTTCATTAAACCTCTTTTACTTTATAAATTACCCAGTCTCTGGTGTGTCTTTATCAGCAGCATGAAAACAGACTAATACAGGTGATGAACTTCCTGGAACCAGAGTGCTGCCTTCCTTTTTGTCCTTTTCTGGCTTATTCTGGTTGCTGTCATGGCACATATCAACTGTCATGGCACTGTTGGAAGTGTCATTTAGCATGGAAATGAGATCGTAATGAAGCCTAAAGTCTTTTGACATCGTTTGGTCTGCTATCTTGGTTTTAACCAGTTTCAACTGGTCTGGTTACAAAGGAAACTTTTGATCACAGGCATCCTTTCTCTTCAAGATAAGTGGAGTCAGAGCAGGGTAGAAATTCAGCTAGTCTGGTTTGCAAAGAAAAATTTTGATCACAGGCATCCTTTTTCTTCAAGATAAGTGGAGTTAGGGCAGGGTAGAAACTCAGCTATGCCATATAGGCTTTATACCAGATCACAGTAACATCTTATGTTTATTTGCTCTTTTTTTATTTGGCCATTTATAGATTGCACTGCACATGTTTTAAAATTCCACAGGAATTAAAGATACAGTTTTTCATTAAGAGGACTTCTGATCCCATCATATTCCTTTCAGTTGATGGGGCTGTGGCCACTGCCCAGTATGTGTTTCTCATCCAACTGTATAAAATCAGGCAATAAAAGGATGGGCCTCAGTGAGCTGAAAAGTCAGTGAGGGAGGTGAGGAGAAAGACAGACAGAAATAGAGAGAGGTCTAACTTGACAAGACCTTCTATTTTAATAAACATAATCAAGATGGCTTAAAAACAATTAAACCTCAAATTCCACAGTCATTTCACTTTCAGATGATTTGCGGCTGTTGCCTCGTCTGGGAAAAACTGACTTAGTTATGGTCTTTGTGAACAGACAGCTTCTAGAACCAGACGAGGCAGCAGAATGAAGTGTAATTGACTAAGTGGCTCAAAGAAGTGGAGAAATGTAATTCAATAAATTAAAGTACTAAAGATATATGCAAAATTCATGGGCTTCTTATGCCTGGCATTGTAGGATAAGACTGTTCCTCATTTTAAAATTGGACTCTTTAGTAGGATTACTACTCAATATCAGCAGCAAAGAAGTTGGCTCTGGAACTGTAATTTGAGGTGTAAATTAAGGTGACCTCAACTAGGATGAAATACCTTTAAAGAAGCTGAGATATAAAATATGAGCTGTTTTCAGGAAACGGAAGACGATTGGGAGTTGTTGAAAATGGACCAACAAAAGTGAAAAGGGGAAATAAAGAAACAGATTACAGGACAAAAGCCTAAGCACCTAATTTAAAACAAAAATGGTTTCCTATGGTTTATGATGAGTGATAAACAGAGTCCACTGTGTGGCCATAAAAATATATCTTTAGCTCAGAAAATATGAGCCTCACTGTCAGCTTAATGTAGTGATTTAAGCTCACAGCCTTTCTCCTTGAAAGAGTTACAAGGCTAAAGTTACCAATCATTCTAAATGATGTGCCTTTGGAAATTATGAACTATGGCCAAGAGGCATTAGTTTTTAGTGCAACTTAATCATGAATTTACCTATTTCAAGTTATTGTTTAGTTACATATTTCTTAGCGCAGCTGGAGTGGTAGAGTATTAATAGTTATAAAACTCCATTAAACTGGCATTAAACTTCTGAGAAAAACCCATAAAATTCTACAGAAAGCCCAACACTGGAGCTCTGCCTCCTCTGGCTCCAAGTCAACTTTATTATAATAAAGTCATTCAAAAGACTCAACAAGGAGCCAAGAGGGTCTATTGAGAAACCTCATGGTGTTATAGCAGGAAACCTCTGATTCACCTAGAAGACTAATGCACATACAAACCATAGGAAATTCTGAGATAAAGCTTTCTAAGAAACATTAAAATAGCAAATGGGGATGTTGATTCCATTAGCATATGAAGCCAAGGCAAAAAAACAAAAAGAAAGACAAGAAGAAAGAAAAAAACAGTGGTAAAATGACCTTTCACAATTCTTCCATAGAAAGTCTGCTCCCTGCATTTGGGCAGCAGAGACTCCAATCCCAAGGTCGTCATTTTATAAACATGCTCAGGAAAGAGCAGAATCACAAATCACTGATTGTCAAGCAGAGTTAAACAAAGTGCAGGAGCCGCACTATTTTAAACGAGGAACACAATTGAGAGACCATCAGACTGGACGTTTGGAGTAAATAAAAATCCATTTCTGTCTCCTGGAATTTTCAAATAGGAAGATGGAGGGAGGAAGGGGAGGACAACATTTCAGAGTGAGTATTAATATTAGGTGCTTTATAGCATTGCTACTCAAGCTGTAGCCGATGGGCCATCATTTACCTTCTCTGGGAGCTTGTCTGAAATGCAGAATCTCAGGCTCTTTCTTTTAGACCACAGCCCTTTTTACAAGATTCCAGATGATTTTTAAGCACAAGAAAATTTGAAAAGTAAAGCTTTACATCACTTTTGTGATTTTAGACATACAACACTTTTACCAGTTGTTACCCTCACTTCAGAGAGAGGAAAATAGGAGCTCTGTAGACTGTTCAAAGTTGTCCTGCCAGCCAGCTGTAGAAATGCAATTCCGACCTAAATCATTCAAATTCCTCTAAAGTCAAACATAAAAATATCAGCAAATTCAAATGAACAACAAACTATTCCTGAAGTTGTGTTTCATTTGTTCTAACTTGCTTTCCTTGTTTGCATGGAGTATGTAACAGTTGTGTAATAAAGGGTTGCTGGACTAGTAATTTATTTGTGGAGTGCCTGCTCTGTGTGAGACATTGTGTGTGAAAACAAGTAGTACGAGACAAAATCTCATACTTTCCTGGAACATTTGTCTGGGAAGACATGATACAGGCTTTTACAAAAAAAATATCAAGAGTGGACAGTTCTTTGTGTTGAGTACAACAGACAAGAAGTGCTTCCCAACGGCATCGGAGTGTCCATTGCAATTCACATCAATCAACGTAGCCTAAAGAGCAAACAAGTGATGTAAGTGTTCAACAAATATTAGCAATTGATATAATTGTCATTGTTAACTTTCCCAGAGGTGGGAACACCATATTTATTCTGGAGACAATGGGAGGGGTGGTCTCGCTGGTGGACAGGGTGAATGTGAGGAGAGAAGTTTTGAATAAACTTTAAAGGCTTCGTTGTGAAAAGTCAGGCAGTTCGATGAGTTGAGACAGTATTCGGTAGGCAATGGTGAGAGGGTGACTATCATAATGAAAGAGGAGCCTTCATATGCATCTTAATATATTAGTCATTACTGGAAAATTGGATCATTCCTAAGATTTTGGGCAGTCTTACGAAAAATAGCTCTTATGAAAAAAAAATTGTCACTGGATAAGTGCCCCGGACAAAATTCTGATAGGGTAAAACTAGGCATTGAACCTACTCTGGAAGAAATGAAATCTCTCTCCCTGGTTTCTAATGGGTGTTCACATAACTTTCAGTAAGAAGATGTTTCTCGGTGAAACCCCGTCTCTACTAAAAATACAAAAAATTTCTGAGAGTTAAGAAAATGCAAGTCCCTTTTGTAGCTTGTCAGAATAATAGCTACTTAACCAATTACTGCTCTTTTACCCTGACCATGATCTGTCTTGCTGAACATTCTAAAACATATAAAACCTTGAGGTGATGGCAGCAGAATGATTTGATAATGGGTCTTGTATAGAATCAAAATGTTCTGGAGTGGTAGATTAAAGAAGGATATGGATACCGTGTTTTTCTCTTCTCTATGAGGTAGAGTCTAGTTTCTCTTACCTTGAGTCTGAGATGACCTGAGTGATTTGTCCATAAATTGACCTAGTAGCAACTGATACTCTGATAAGAACTGTTGCAGCTTCCAGTATGGCCTTTTAGAACTCTCTGAGAGCCCTGAGATGTCAAGTAAGAAGTTTATCTGATACTTCTTGTTGGAGAAGCCAAATGGAGGTACTCTGATTGGCAGTCACAGCTGAGTCTACTAGACAAGCCTTCCAATCATTCCCTGCATCCAAGGTACCAGACATGTAAATGAAGGTATATTGGACCCTACAGTTCATTGATGGCTAAATATTTTTAAGTTTCCTTTGCTGTTGTCACTCAATTTCAATTTTTGATTTACAAAATTATGAAATATATGTCTTTTGTTTTAAGCCAGATAGTTGGGGGGGTTGTTTTGTACAGAGATAACTGGAACAGCTGGTACATCCAAATCTGTTCATTAGGAAACGTTTACTCCAGAACTAGTTTAATCATTATGGTCATAGTGAAAATCAAATGAATTCAATAAGGAATGGATCTACTTTGCAAGCATGTCAAGAAATTTCAGAAATGTATGAATTGATTGTTCAATAAACAACTAGTCAAGAATCCCAACCTTTGGTCCTTGCCAAATTTGCATTTATAGTAGGAGATTATTGTCCTCTCTACCCAAAAATGGAGCAAAGCAAGATTCGCAGCAAGAAGCTACTAGTCTATGCAGATGATTTAAAGGCTTCTAACACTCCCTATGTGCAAAGAGCACCTTGAGTCTTCCAAAGCAATTACTACAAAGATAACTGCAGATGAAATAAAGCACAGTGTTGGATTTATCTTCATGTACCGTTTTCTACATAGTAAAATGTCTCCCATTTATCTCTGTTCCTTTGACATTAGATTGATCAGTTAACTAGCTTTAGAAGCAAAAGATCAACCAGCTGACAAATTGTTCCCCTTGACTTCAAAGCACACACAGGACTAAATTTTAGGACTAATGATTTTAAATCACCTTTCTTGTTACAACAAAATGCATGATGCAATAATCAAATCTCTAAGCAATTTGTAAAACAAGGTTTGTTTGTGTGTGTCAGAAGCATTAGGGTAATGAATGGATGGGGAGTGAATGGGGGTAGTAGTGTCTTCTATGTGTACCACGTGTAGGAATCTATTGAATTAAATAGATGTCTTTGTTAATGAAACCACCACATAAATGGACCCAGCTATAAATTAAGCAGACCTCATTAGCCTGCCTTTCTAGGGGAAATGAGTTCCTTTTTGTGGATAAGAGTGAAATAGGTTCTTAAGATTTAATGTAATAAGAAGAAATTGGAACTTTTTACCTGGTGAAAGCAAAGCACCCGATGATTTAAATGTGATTCATCCACCAATTTTGGCTCATGTTCAGATAATTGAATATTAATAATAATACTATTATTATTTGTTTGTAGTGAAATATTAGTAATGTTATGGTGTTTGTAATTATTATTGTTAACATTCGCAATTACACCTTCTATTTAAGTCAGTTTTCTTAAAATAATAGGAAATACAGACAACTTTGAGAATCTAATAAAAGTTAGGAACTTTTCCCTGAAGAAAAGAATGCTCATATGCAGAGAAACACTCACAATATCAAAGGGGTTATGCATGCCTTATGTTCATGTAAGGACCACCAGAGCCCATTCCAGGGGTGGTTTGGTTTCCAGAGAGAGAATCTTAAGATAAGAGCATAAACTGAGCTAGGCCTATAATACAGCATCTATTTCACTGATCACTTCAACAATTCCCATGTTTGGTGTTACTATCCTCATTTTAGTGTTGGGAAAACTGAACCTCCAGGATGAAGAAGTGAAAAATCTGAATTTCATATTTTTCTGCTTTCAAAGCCCTTGGTATGTTCAATCATGTAAATTAATTTCTAATCCTTCCTAAAATGGATATTGAGGTAAAGGTAGGGATGGCTAATGCACCCTCCTTTAATTCCCAGGTACTGGAGAACTGTCATGTTTCAACCAGTCAATACGTGTGTTTGTGTGTGTGTGTATGTGTGTGTGTGTATGTATACATTCCCATCTCCATGCATATGTGTCATTAGTAAACATTTGAGAGAGGACTGTAGTCTATCAATTACCTGTTCAAACTGGTTAAGTTGTTTCCTTTCCTATAGATCTTATTTTTCTCATGTATTAAAAACAAAGGTGTTAAATATTTCAAGCCCTGTGCAAAAGTAACACTGCAAGAGTTTACAAATATAGTTTGGGGTACAGGTGAGAAAGGAAGGAAGTAGAAAGAGGAGGAAAGAGTGGGCCAGGGGTTTGTAGAGAATGCAATGGGAAAAAAAGGCTTAACAAGGAAGAAAATGAGATTTATCCAAGGAGTATGCTGTGTTCTTTCTTTCCTTCAGAAATACACCTCTTCTCAGACATCCTTCACATCATCGCAAGCATCCCTCTTTCATTGACAAAACGGCATTTACTCTGAAAAACAGAAATGGAGTCAGTCTTTGAAAATGTTTTCTACCTTATGATACTAAGCCTGGTATGTGGACCACAGTAAGCATACTTTCCTCCTATATTTTGCCATAGCAATACTAGACATATACATCTATATGTTGGTTAATTTCATAATGAATGCGCACTCTCTATCACGGACTTTGCTGAAGATATTATACAGTGTAGTTCCCCTTGGTGATTTACAGTTATTTGCTTTCCATAAGCTCTTTTCTAAAGCTAGTTTTCATTACAATTATCATAATAATTATATATATTTGTGGAAAAAAATTAAACACTTCAGAATGGAAATGAATTAAACAATAAAAGTCACTCTATGAATCTTTTCACCAGTTTCATTCCCTAGAAGCATGACTATTAAGAGTATCTTGTGTATATAAGCCAATCTATCTATGTGTCTATTTGATCGACCTATTTCTTCTTTATCATCATAGTCTACACGTCTGACTAAAAATGATGGTTTTTTATAAACAAATATATTAGTAAGTAAATATATATTCTCCAACATTTTAAGTTAAATACTTTAAAAAATTCCCATCCTTACACAAAAAGATCTGCTTCATTCTTTTTATTGGTTGCATAAAATTCTGCTATATATAATGCCATCATTTATTTGACCCACTATTGATGGATACTTAAAACATTTTTTAGAATTTTGCTATTACTAACAAACATCTTTGTATGAATACCTTTGTACCGCTGGGTAAGTGAATGTATTGTGCACATTCAAAAAGTTGCTGGGTCAAAAATATACGTGTGTGAAATGTTGACAGATATTGCTAAATTGCCTTACAAAATGGTTGCATCAATTTTCACTGCATTTAACCATGTTGAGCATTGTCTGTTTCCCACTTGGTCAAAATGCAGCATTACCAGCTATTTTTTTTGACATAGTGATATTAGTAAATTATGGCATCTTAACAATTTCTAGGGTTTCTTCACATACATTATTGATGCATTCCCCTTTCCCTCACCTCTTAATAGTTGTCAAAAATTTCTGCTTCTATTTTCAAATCATTGTTTTAGGACAATGCATTACTTCTGAGGCACCAGTTATATTTGCTGATTATAATTTACACAGGAAGAATTACCCTTTTGGATCTTACAATTTCCATATTACTCTCTCTCATCTCCCATTTATTTATGCTGTTGCTTGCTAATATATTCATTTATATTCCATCCATTTCCAAGGCTGATTTGAAGTGGCATATGATAAAATAGTAGGCATAAAGAAAAATAGCATTGAAATGGAAGGAAAAAATATCCTCGAAAATTAATATTGTGACTTTAGCAGTAAATCTATCTCTTGGCATTCTCGATATTAAGGCCAAAAGCAGCAGTCAATTTTTGATTAATGCATAGCCTATAGAAAGAGAAACCATGTCAGTTAATATGGAGATAAGCATTTTTCCCATTCCTCAATTATTTAATGAATGTTTCAGGTGGATACAAACAATAGAACATACAGTGTCCTCCAAAATTATTGGCCACAGAAAAGAAACAGAGATTTTCTTTACAGGACTTCTTTTAAAAAGAGAGAGAACTATAACCTGAAAACACCATTCACAAAAGATATTGCTTATAAGACAGAAGCAGCTTAGCTATCACTGTTAGATATTAACTTGCATACACATCATTTTATTATATTTAATGTATTCCTTAAATGCATAGGCTCACTGCTATTGTTGTATTGACTTTTAGGTCTGAAGAGAAAATATGTGAGATATGTTTAATTGTTTGAGCACAGGAATGTCGATGATAATTATGATAAAGATAATTATGATTTACTCTCTTACAAATTTTAGCTGCCCTTTTTGTCACTTGCATCAGTATTAATTTTTTCCTCACAATGACACAAGAACTTCAGATAAAGCAAGTGCAAGAAATTTGGAAGCACAAATAACATTTCCCAGCATTTAATTCAGTTCATTCCCATCTACCAACTGAAAGACATCATGGTACCGATTCATCAAGCCCTTTGTGTGTATTATCTTTATGAGACATATCTTATGTTCTCTAATCACATGGGTCTCAGTGTTCTCTGATGAATGCCCTGATCTGTTTTTCAATATATTTATCTTCTGATACTTTTCTCTGCACTGGTTGAGAAAAATGTTGGTATCAGAGTCAACAGCATCTGTAGGAAAAACTGGGGAGACAATCCTAGATAAATCAAACTCAACCATTTCACTAAATGGGATTTTTTTTTTTTTGAGACAAGATTTTACCCTCACCCAGACTGAAGTGCAGTGGCCCAATCATAGCTCACTGTAGCTTCCAACTCCTGGTGTCAAGGAATCCTCCTGCCTCAGCCTCCCAAAGTGCTGAGATTACAGCCTTGTGCCAAGCCCAAACAGATATTTAAGCTCCACCAATTTCTACCCACTGCACTCATTGGACAGTGTCCAAACTCTGGTCCACCCCTTCCATTTATTTATTACCATCCTCAGTAGCACTTGAGGACCAATTATTCTGAACTACTTGCTATCTGAATACCCACAACATTCCTTGCCTTCTAGATTTTCCTCCTGCTCACTTTTGAAAAAATTCCCATTGAATGAATCATTGTTCTCCAAAAACATTCTATGCTTAAGCAATACTTTATTTTTCACATACATTTATTGTTTTCCTCACCCTCCCAAGAAAGAAATTGTCTCTTTATTTTGAAAGAATAGGAGGCCCCCTAGCACAGGAACATGCTTCTGCCTGCCATAGCCCCCTGGATCTGCTGAGCTCGGATGCTTGGGGTGTGCTTCAGAAATGCCTCTGAGTTGCTACAGCAATTGCTGTCCTCACTTCCTGCCAGAACAGTCTACACCTCCTCCTCCATCATTTTCTTTCCCAGGCTGATGAAGACATGTCTGAGCTCTGCTCTCATGACAATCATTCCCCTCCTTTATTTTTCAATAAATATATAGAGTTATTTCAAATATTTTGGTATATGACATAGATTGGTTTTGTAGTTTTTAATGAAGTAAAATAGAAACTTCTAAATACAGCAGTGTCTGTGGGGAAAAAAGCCATGAGAAAAAATAAGGTAATTGGCAGAACTATATTTGCTTGAAGGAATTAAATGAAAAGCATGGCGTCATGATCAATCAGATAATGGTTTCTATCATACATTGTAAAACTCTATAGACTTAACCATCTCTTCCAACAGATGAACATATATATATATATATATATATATATATATATATATATGTATATATATATGTATGTATGTATGTATCTGTGCCTTAGTTTGTTTGTGTTGCTATAAAAGAATACTTGAGGCTGAATAGTTTATAAAAAAAGAGATTTTATTTGGCTCATGGTTCTGCAGCCTGTACAAATTGCATGGTGCTAGTGTCTGCACCTAGGGAGGGCTGCACTCAAAGTTCTACTAATGGTGGAAGGAGAAGGGGAGCAGGCATCATATGGTAAGAGGAAGGAAGCAGGACAGAAAGCATAGGAGGTGCCAGGGTCTTTTCAACAACGTGTTATTAAAACTAAGAGTGACAACTGACTCACACTTAGGAGAATGACACCAACCCATCCATGAGAAACCTACCCTCATGATCCAAACACCTCATACTAGTCCCCATCTCCAATATCAGGGATCAAATTTCCACATGAGGCTTAATGGGGTCAAACGAATCATATCCAAACCATAGCCATTTGTATCTATATCTATATTTATATATATCTATATCTAATTTATATCTTCCTATATAAATCTAAGAATGTAAGAGTGTGCGTGCATCTGTGTGTGTGTGTGTGTGTATTTAGCATCATTTTCCTTGGATTAGTAAGCATTCAGTAAATATTACTTTTGTTGTTATATAGTTTTTATTTCATAATCATAAACTTAACTCTGCAATCTGCTAGAGGTGGAGCAGACTAAGGAAAATGTGGAACCAAAAGAACTTCAGCAAGAACACAAAGATTATAGGATATTTTGAGCAAATGGAGTGGAGGAATGTTCTCTTGCCTATAAAAAAATTAGTCTGGTAGTTAAAACAAAACATAAGTTAAATTTATTGGAGTTGTCCACAGTTGTCAATCGTGGTCTTCTTTCTGGTTTTGCCATTCCAGAAAGCAAAGTGCGCCATGGCTTCCAAGATATTCAAGCCCTCTTTTGTCTTGCCAAAGACTGCACTCTTGCCACCCAACCACACAGTTTTGGCAGTGCAGATGAAAAACTGGAAACCATTTGTGTAGCGTCCAGTATTTGCCATGGACAAGGTGCCAGGTCTTGTATGCTTCAGGATGGAGTTATCATCATCAGACTTCTCCCAGTAGTTGGACTTGTGCCAGTGTCATCATGACATGTGAAGTCACCACTCTGGCATATAAACCCTGGAATAATTCTGTGAAAACAGGAACACTTATAGCCAAATCCTTTCTCTCCAGTGCTCACAAAATGAACATTTTCTGTTGTCTTTGGAACTTTGCAAACAGCTGGAAGGAGACATGGCCCAAGTGCTCACCGTTGACTACAAAGTTAAAGAACAAGGTGGCAGTGGTGACATCAGTGGAAGTGGCATCTGCAAAGTGCCAACAAATATTTTAAACAAACAAACCAATAAATTAATATTTCTTAAACCAGTAAAGAATGAAAACTTTCCAGCCACTCATCAGGCATTTGTTCATAACTGCTTGGTGTCATTCATGGTGAGAGATTTTGCTGACACAATGATAGCTATGAACAATCCCTGCTTCCAGAAGCCTATGGTGCAGCAGGAGAGGTTTGTACCCACATTCATGGCATAGTGATGGAGAGTGTTGGTGCCAGAACAGAGATACACTGAGGCCTTTCTGAAGGGACCCAGAATGGAGCATCTTCGACTTCATGTGTGTTCAAGAAGGTCTTCATAAAGGAAGTGACAAACATATTCAGGTATCTGAAAGTTGAACACACACTGAGGCTTACACTGGACAGAAGACAGAAGGGTAGTGTCGTCCCTGACCCTGAGGCCTTAAATCCCTATTGGGAAGTGAACACACTGACAGATTTTCACATACAAAAAAGAAATAAACAAACCCACTTAAAACTATGAGTGGTTGATTTATGTGACCACTCCTATGGATGCTTGCATACAAACAGGACACACAGAAGGATAATCTGAAATAGAAATATATTAGACATAAGGATTAACTGCATGATATTTACTAGTAAAAAGCTAAAACACTAATTTAAATTTAAACTGTTAACTCTGAAAAATAATGGAGGGGAGAGCCAATTGGAGAGAAGGCAATGAGCAAAGAAATCCAAGAGCCTCGGGATTAGATAAAATTAAAAAAATGTCTGACTGGAGAATGACATACTTTTATAATCTCTTCACTTTTCCAGACATCCTCTATTTGTTACAAAGCTATCCCAGTCCCCAGTCTTGTGGTGTCTGGACCCTTGGGGTCACTTCCTAGCTGGTGACTTGCTTACACTCTCGCCTGGCCTCACAATGTGTAAGCCTCATTGAGCGATCCTTCTAGAACGTTAGCCAGATTATGTAACTCTCCTTTTCAGAACCTTCCAACCACTTGCTCTCTTGCACATAATTAATTCTGATGTCCTCACCCTGGCTTCTAAAATAGATGACCTGGCCCCTTACTAACGCACTGGTCTCATCTCCCACCTCTCTTCCTAGGTAGCTCTAGTCACACAGCCTGTGATCATTTTGAAATGTCTGAACCATACTCCCCTTTCAGGACTGTTGCATTGCTCTTCTATATATCCATGTGTCCTGCACCCTCTCTTCATTTAGGCTTTGCTCAAAATATCCTTTTTTCAAAGATTGTTTCTCCGAATGCCCTTATGAAATAGCATGCTTCTCAATGCTTTAGTTCCTTGCCTGCTTTACTTATCTTCATTCATTTATTTTGTTTCCTCTAACTAAAATGCAAGCTTCATGAGAGTGAGAAATATTTCATAAATAACTATTCCCTGTGCTTAAAAACAGTGCCTTAAACATGGTAGACACTCAATAGATATACATTGAAGAAATGAACAAATACTTTTCAGAGCCCTTACTATGTAATATGCATTATCAAAATAAATCATAAAAATTCAAGAGAAAGGCATAATATTCAGTGCTTCTCAACAATTTAGACATGCAGCTCTTTTGCAGATTATTTCCCATTTATCCCTCTCTTTAGCAACCATTTACCTATAATGTTATTATCTGCCTACCACGGAACCTATCATGCTCTGAACACACTTTGGAAACTGCTGTTCTAACAGATACCAAGGGAAGGGAACTATATTTACTTTCAGGCCTGAAATAAGTCAGAGCTAAAAGGAGTAAAAGTGGTGTGCAGATCTATCTCAATGATAGTCCAAAATTGTGGGGGTGTGTGTGTGTGTGCGCACTTGCATGAAGAGGGGACTCTGGGCTCTGAGATCTACAGGAAAAAAAAAACAGAAAAATATGGCTGAAGTCACTGAACAAACTCATCAGAAAAAAGATTAGATTATTATAGAAAACAATGCTTAAACTGCTAAAATGCAAATTGTGATAGTTAATTTTATATGTCAACTTGACGGGGCCATCGAATGCACAGATATTTCGTTGAAAATTATTTCTGGTTCCAACACAGAGATGAGAAATGTTTGAGATGATCGATATGCTAATTACTCTGATCCGGTCACTGTATATTATATGTACTGATATATCACTATGTACCCCATGAATATGCACAATTATTACTTGTCAATTTAAAAAATCAAAATAACCTACCAAATCAAGGATAAATTAAAGACATTTTCTAACAATAAATTATTCTTGGATGTGTCTGCAGATATTTTTAGGTTAGACTAACTTTGGGTTGGTAGACTAAGCAAAGCTGATTTTCCTCCCCAGGGTGAGTGGGCCTTAACTAATATGTTGAAGGCCTAATAGAAAAGAAGGCTGAGTAAGAAAAACTTCTTCCTCTCTGCCTGATTGTCTTTGAGTTGGGACATCAGTGCTCCTCTGCCTTTGCATTTGGACTTGGACTAGAATTTTACCATTGGTTCTTCTGGGTCTCCAACTTGCTGATTCCAGATCTTAGGATTTCTCAGCCTCTGTAATGCATGAGCCAATTCCTTATAACTAAATCCCCCACGCTCTCTCTCTATATATGTATGTATGTATATACACACACATGCAGACATACATGAGGACTTTAAAAAGGTTCATGGGAAATGGAGTTAAAACATAAAGATAAAAAGTATAAACTTTATTTCTCAACCTAAGCTCCATCAAGTTCAAGACACTTTTGTAAGCAATGACACCAGCCGTGTAGTCCATCCCTAAAGAACTGAGAGTCCTAGGAATTTGATCACATTAATGTAATCTTTTTTATATTATTAACTGAAGAAAAATAAGTGTCCTTTACAGATAATTTAAGATTAAGAAAAAAAGACGTTAGAAGGAGAAAAATCAGGACTGTAAAATGAATGCCTAGTAATTTTCCATTGACACTTTTGCAAAATTGCCATTGTTTGATAAGAGGACAAAGCCGGAGCTTTATTGTGGTGGAGCAGGACACCCTGGTTGAGAATTTTATGGTCATTTTCCTGCTAAACATTTGGCTAAATTTTTCAAAACACTTTCTTCATAAGCAGATGATATCATTCTTTGGCCCTCCAGAAAGTCAACAAGCAAAATGACTTGAGCATCCTAAAATCTGTTGCCATGACCTTTGCTCTTGACCAAACCACTTCTGCCTCTCTGTAGCCATTGTTTTGACTGTGCTTGGTCTTTCTGATGATACTGTTAAAGCGGTGTTTCATCTGTTAAAATTCTCCCAAGAAATCCTTTAAGATCTTGATTGAACTTACTGAAAATTTACATTGAAAGCTTTGCTCTTGTCTGCAGCTGATGTGGGTACAGTAGTTTGGGCACTCAAGTGGAAAGTTTGCTCAACTTTAATTTTTCCATCAGAATTATGTATGCTGAATCAGTTGAGATGTCTATGGTGTTGGCTGCTGTTTTTGATGTTAATCATCAGTTCTTTTCAATTAGGGCATAAACAAGACCATTTTTTTTTTTGCAAATTGATGTGCATAGTCTGCCATTGCAGGCTTCATCATCAACATAATCTTATTCCTTTATAAAATGAGTTATTGATTTGTAAACTGAAATTGCTAATTTATTTTGGGCATTGTTCCCATAAACATTTTGTAAAGCATCAAGATTTCACCATACTTCCACCGCCAAGTTTCGCCATGAATTTGATGATTGTTCTTGCTTCAGTATTAGCAGAATACATATCGCTTTGATAGGGGCTCTTCTCAAACTGCTGTCCTGTCCTTCTGAGTGCCTCAAAGTAGATCTTGTTCACGTATGTTATAACAAACTAGTACGAGTTTATTTAGGTGCAAAAATATTGAAATTTATGCACAGTTTTTTCATAATATACATTTTCCATGAATTTTTGAAGTCCCCTCGTGTGTGTGTGTGTGTGTGTGTGCACGCTTATGGATGTATGTGAATCTCTCTCTCTCTCTGTCTCTGTCTCTCTCTCTCTTTCCTATTATTTCCATTTCTCTGAGAAACCCACACTAATACAGAAATTAAGAAAAGGAGAAAATAGAGCAAAAGGCAACCTCACAATGGATTGAATCCACAACTCTAAGTGAGAATTTTAAATCTCTATCCAGTGAAAAGTTGAAAATCCCCATAAATACTCTGTAGCCCTGTAGCCCATCACTTCTCATTCCAGACAGAAGTGATTTCTGAGTGCCATGGTTCTTTCAATATTATCTAGATTCTGGTCAGAGGAGAAATGCTAATGAGATAGGAAAGGGCTCAGGGAATGGGCAAGAAGAAGAGGAAGAAGGGGAAGAGAATGAAGATGGAGAAGGTGAAGGGAGGGAGCAGGACAATCCAGCAAAGGCCAGGCAGTTTCCTGCTCATTTTTCTCCTGTCAGTTTCTTAGCTTACTTTTCCAAAACAAATGGTTATTCTCAAAATTTATTTTTTCCTCCTCAGGAGACCCAAATAAAACTTTAGGGTTGGGAAAAGGGAGATTGCCACTTAGTTGGCCTGTAAACACCTCTGATTCCATAGTGGCCCCTCTATCTATCATATCTTAATCACCATGGTGTTAATAAGATAATTTGATGCTGAATTATAAATATGAATGACAAGAGGAAAGCAAGGCTTGGTGTTAGGGAAGTAGGTACATGGGGAAGGCACTTGGCCCAGAGGAGAGCATGGCCAGATGGACCTGGATGGATTACGTGCCAGGCTCACCATGGTCCCACTTTTCTGTGGAGTGGGATGCCCAGAGCAGGGACACCAAATTGCAACTGATCAGACTGTGAATCTGGGTTCTTTCAAATAGCCTTGTGACCTTGCACATTTCTTGCATTCTCTGTGCCTTGTATTTTATGTAAGCTTTGAGATGAGGATAATGATGCCTACCATTTATATTGTGCCATGACTATTAAGTAGCATAAATACATGAGGTACCTAGGATGTGGATGGAGTATATTTCCTATTCAATAAACGTTAATTCATCCTTTCTTTATTGAAAGAATATTTTCTTTCACTTGTTCAATTATTAATTTATTCAAAAATATTTACTGACCATCTATAGGCACTGTTTAGAGCACTAATGATAAAATGATGAGAGAAAGAAGAAAAGCAAAATCCAACTGTCTTTACAACAACACTTATTATTATTATTGGAGTTGCATCTTCTGTTTCTGAAATTGCTGAGTTTCCTAAAGGCCTGGGATTAGGAGATGGTCATTTCACTTTAATGGTGAGAAATGGCTCCATACCTTCACGTTGTTGTTTCTTTTATCTAAAATACTTCCTTCATTCTTGTTTTTCCTGAATGTTTTTCAGAGTTTCTCTCAAGACTGTTATATATACCAGTGCTTAACACTGATAGCATAGCATAGAACTAAAAAGACATGGTCTTTGCTCCCTGAGGTTTACAATCTATTTTTATATAGCCTAGCACCTAGCACCTAACACAGGACCTAGTAAATAATGCATGCTTATTGAGACAGCAAATAAGTTAATGACTGTTCTAAGGAAACTAAGAATGTCCAGATAATTGCAGCAAACACCGTCATAATAACAGTGTGACGTGGCAAGTCCATATAGTCTCAGGGAGGTGGGGTGAACATAGTGGTTCCCAGCCCTTCGCACATGGGCTTCACTTGGAGAGCTTTAAAAGTTACTGATTTAATTGTCAGGAGTTTTAAAGACTCTCCACATGATGCCAATGAGCAGTCAAGGTTAAGAATGGCTATACTAAAAAGCGTCATTGTGAAATTGTCCTACAGTTCTTTCTGAATTCTTCAGGCTTAATAGAGGGAGTGCTGCCCTCGTAGACTTTGGATGATTGCTCTTTAGGCCATGTACTATTGACTTGAGATCATTTCATCAGAATAGGGTGATTATGAATGTCATTATCCAAAATGGGATACTTAAAATATAAATCAGGTATACTATACATATTCAAGAATGCACCTAAGTATACAATTCAATGCATGTAACCAAACAAACACATTAATGATACCAAAGTCCAGCTGCAGAAAGAATGTTAAGAACAACAAGACTCTGCTTCACACTCTGTTTCAGCTTGGTCTTCTTCAAGGGTGACCACTGTTCAAATTTTTAGTAGCATGTGATAGTTTTACAGATTTTTATATTTTACAGAAATTTAATCATTGTTCCTGCTATTGTATGTGGCTACTCTCATTCAGTATTATGTTTGAGAGATGCATCTGTATCATGTGCTTAATTGAAGATCATTCACACTTGTTGCCGTGTAATATTTTATGTCATGAATGTATCCCAGTTAATTTATTTATTCAGTCTACTGTTGGGCATCTGGATAGTTTCCAACATTGGACTATGATGACTAATGTTACTATGGGAAATTTAATACATGCATTTTGATGAACATAAGTGAGTGTTTCTTTTGGGTGTATGCCTAAGTAGCAGTATTGATCATGGGCATGCTCATGTATATGTTTGAAATTTGGAACAAAACTACCCCTAATATTTTCAAAGTTGTTGTATCAATTTGTTCTACCATTTGCGAGGCAAGAGGAGAATTTCACTTACCTCACCAGTACTTGGTATTACCAGTCTTTAGCATTTAGCAACTGCAATTGATTTTTATTAATAGCTTCTTGTGGTATAAATTTTCATTTCCTCAAATATAAAGTTGAATTTTTCTTTTCATGTGTTGGCTAGCCATTTGCAGAGTGTCTTTTATGAAATGAATGTCCAGGTCTTTTGCCTAATAGATCGTCTTGTCTTTTTCTTCTTGATTTGTTATTTTCTTTTTATACTTTTAAAATAAGTTTTATGAGTTTGTGAATACTTGTGTATTTAGTGTACACAAATTATTTGTTATATATATGCATTAAAATACCTTATTTCCATTCTATGGAGTGCCTTGTCAAAATTTTAATGGTATCTTTTGAGAAACAGAAGTTCTTAGTTTTAATAAATTTCAACTTATCTTAATCTTTTGTAATTAGCATTTTTTAAAGAACTTGTTGCTTACTCCAAGATCAGAACACATTTGAGGGTAAAAAGTGGTGCTATAATATACCAGTACAAAAGGCATAAGCCAGAGTCTCCTCAAGACATCTGTTCATTCTAAACACATTCACCCCACTCTGAGCTACTTCAGACCAATGGGTCTAGACCCTGGTGTCATATTAAGATAACTTAAAAAGCTTTTAGAAACTATTGCTGCTAGGATCACCATCCCAGATGAGTGAAGCATAATCTCCAAGGTTATGGCAACATGTGGTTAATTTTTATTTTTATTTGAGAGGTACTCAGGCAACTTTGTGATTTAGTAAGAGTAGATAACAACCACTCCAAACTACTGCTTCTGAAACTGTAATGAGCTTATGAATCCACTGAAGCCTTACTCCAAGATTCTGATTCAGTTTGGGGGGCAAGATGAGACAGTGCATTTCTAATAAGCCTCCAGGTGATGCTGATGCTGCTGGTAGACAGACCATCACTTGGGAAGAAGGGCAGTAGCACAGGTTTTCCTACTGGGCACTATTGACATTTTGGATCAGATAATTTTGTTGTGGGGGCATGTCCTATGCATTTAAATATTTTTACCAGCCTCCCTGGCACTAACTACTAGATGCCAAAGAATCCTCCAACATGTGAGAGTCAGAAATATTTCCAGACATACTCTGAAGTCTCTTGGGTGGAAAATTGATCTTAGTTGAGAATCGTTTGTCTAAATCTCATAGACACATTTCCAAATTACTGAGAAACACAGGAACACCATAGTGCATCCTGGGTCACATTACCAAATAGTTGAGTAGAACAAATGTTATACAAATATTGTATGCTATTTCACTGTTATGCATATATCACAATCTAGCCTGAAAAAGCCAAATTGGATATGCCACATCTGGATTGGTTGAGCTGCTTAGATATTTATTTCCTCTAACTAAGATGACAAAATATGGCACCTGATTGGTGGGTACTTCTCTATTTTGGCTCCAGTTACAGTAGGTACCCCTGAGAAGTATGGTAGAAGAAGAGAGGCTAGGTGAAAATAACCATTCCTTTCCCATGGCTTCAAAACAAGCAGATCTACCTCCCTCCCCAAAATCTCTGAATGTCTATTCCAAAAATTAAAAAAAAAATGTATCACTTTAAGTCATCAGCATATGAGATCTCAGAAAGCATTTTTTAGTATATTTACTTCAAGGTCCTGTAGACTGAAAACACCACCACCAACAACAAAACTCACTTACACACACATGAAAACGCTGCTCTACTTTGAGGGCTGGAGAAGATTTACAGGTGCACCATTTTTTCCTGCTATTGAAATTGTGTACCATGTGATTCGTATCATGACTATTTCCACAGCCACTCTTCCTTCTCTACTTCCCTGTGATGTCATGGTTGGCTCCTAGTTCATTCCGTCTTCATGGGGAAATGAGATGCAGTGGTGCACAGGAAATAATAACCTACTTTCCTTGCCTCCCTGTACTTTAATTTTCCAGGGATCAAAATTCAAGGAAGTTCCAATGAGGTAGCACAATGAGCATCTTAATGGCCACAATCATTTTTATTAGATATCCACTATCCTTTTTTTTTTTTAGGAGTGCTTCTTGCTACATTTATTTTACTTTTTTAAAGAAAGAAATAGTGTGCTAGATACAATAGAAATAATCAGAATTCTGAATGCCAAATGGGATTCAGAATACCTATGAATAATCTCCGCTTTATACGCTCTTAGCTTGGGCTTAGATAAGAGATCTTAGTCATAAAATAATACAAGAAAATTGATGTAAAGAAATTGTTCAAAATGTAAAGCCTATATCTTTTGCATTTGCAAGCCTTCAATTACCCTTACTTTGATAGTTTCCAAAGATACAATCATTTTTGAAAGATAAAGAGAAGGTCTAAAGAAAAGTCTTTGCAATGAAAACAACTCTAAAGTTTCAAAACCCAAATATACCAAGAGCATGGATTGCTTCAAGTTTTATCTATGCATTACTCAATCCAATTCAATCAGTATTGTTGAGCACCTATTATATGCCATTTTACATGCCGAAGAAGAAAAAAACCATTAAAATATACTCAGTTCCTCCTCCAAGAACTTCACCTTTTAATATTGAAAATAAAACAAGCACCTAAATGACCATTATTATTATAGTCACCATCATCATCATCATTTTTATTATCACCAAAATATATATTAAATATATTATTTTATATATTTGTTAATCTGCATTTCATATATGTATTAATATATTCTGCAGTCATCTAATATAGTCACATATAATATTTCATATATTTATTAATATATTAAACATGAGTAATATAGTTATATGTTATATAATTATAAAATATTAAATATATATATTTAAATATGTCATGTCATAGGAAATGAACAGATATAGGGCTACAGGTTTTATTAAAAAGATAAATAAATACATCCCAGCACTTTGGGAGACTGAGGTGGGCAGATCATCTGAGGTCAGGAGATCCAGACCAGCCTGGCCAACATGGTGAAACCCCATCTCTACTAAAAATACAAAATTAGCCAGGCATGGTGGTGGGCACCAGTAATCCCAGCTACTCAGGAGGATGAGACAGGAGAATCGTTTGAACCTGGGAGGCGGGGGTTGCAGTGAGTCTGGATTGCACCACAGCACTCCAGTATGGGCGACAGAACGAGACTCCATTTCACTAAATAAATAAATAACAATAATTTAAAAAAATACGAAATTTACAGAAAATCTTTAGCAGTAGATGCGATTTTAGACTGATCTTTATGTATTGGATAACTGCACAAATGAAGGGAGCAAAGACTTTGGGACACTTCAGAAATTGTAAACAATAAAACCATGGTAACTTTTTTGTGGAGTTAACAATGCCTCGGTTAGGTAGGCAAGAAAATTTGATGTGGCTGCAGGTGAGGGAAGGACAAAAAGAGACTAAGATGGCTTTGGGCACAGTCACTTTGGGCCTTAAACATCAGGATACATGGAGACTTTTACATGGTAGTCCCTCTGAGTGACACACAATCTGAAGTGTACAGATGCTTTGGAATTTGTGTGCAAAGTGTCTAACTTGAAAGCCAATCTGTCAGTTATTGTGGTTCTCTGAACAGCAGAGTCTCACCAGAGCTGCCTCTAATAAGCTCTTGTCAGAAAGCCTCTTTTGCCACTTGCCTGAAACACAATGAATTGGACTCTCACATTTGACAGAAGATTCTGGAGCATGGAGGGACATCAAGTAGGAGATAGTAGTAGCTGGGCAGGAGCCCGGCTACACATCAGCATGTGCAGACCCTTCCGGGAGCTTGGATGATGTAATCAGGTGAGCCTAATTGAATCAGGCATTACCCTTGGAGAAGGTCTTTGGTATAGACCTGGATGGAAGGGGGAACTGTCATCATTTCTGTTCTCTCTCTCAATTTTGTTTTTCCTTATCAAGCAAACGGTTGAAGCCAGCAGCTACTTTTAGTTCCCTGTCTGAGAGTGAATGATAGAGTACTTTAAGACGTTGGTGGGGCTGGAGGTAAACTTAAGTGGGAGCCTTGGTATAGCTCCATGGAGCTGGTCAGGGGCAGGAGATTGGAAGCAACATTACAGAGAACAACAAGATCTAGCCCAAATTTTCAGGGCTGTAATTTCAAGCACTGCAGCTCATAGACTCTTACATAAATAGCAGCAAGGGAGCATAAGGAGGAAGCTAAGGTCTAGGGCTGATTTCTTTCTGATTTGGATGCATAGCTTCAAGAGGCACCATGATTTTAAGTCAATTTCATAGGCACTAAAGATCCCAGTTGATGCACCCAGGCAGTCTTGAGTTTGGTGGGCATTTTAGGAGTTGATCTCATATTTATCAGTCTAAAGAATTTTGAAGTTATTTTCCTCTATATATCCATTATATATATATATATATATATATATTTTTTTTTTTTTTTGAGACAGAGTCTTGCTCTGTTGCCCAGGCTGGAGTGCAATGGCGTGATCTTGGCTCACTGCAACCTCCACATCCCAGGTTCAAGCCATTCTTCTGCCTCAGCCTCCTGAGTAGCTGAGATTAATTTTTGTAGTTTTAGTAGAGATGGGGTTTCACCATGTTGGCCAGGATGGTCTCAAACTCCTGACCTCAGGTGATCCACCTGATTCGGCCTCCTGAAGTGCTGGGATTACAAGTGTGAGCCACCGTGCCTGGCCTTTTTATTTTTTAACACCAGCCTTAAACCTTAGTTCACGTTAACTTTTGTCCCAAGAAAATGTTCCTTTTTTCACAGTGAAGAATAATGATGATAGTTATTCTTTTGATCAGGTATTTACTAGGAACAAGATCCCACACATACACAATATAATTTAATGATGTGTGTGTATTTGATACAATTTAATATTCAATGTAATTCCTCAATGTAGACAATACCAAATGTGTGAATGAGTAACGTGAGACACTCGGAGGTTATGATACTTGATTCAGTTCCTACAATTTTCAAGGAGCTGAAAACAGGGACTTGAATCCAGATCTGTTTGCCCACATATCCCATGACGTTTATTTGCATTTGTTTGTTTCATGCTATGCTGCCTGTTATGTGCAAGTGGGTTAATCAATACCATGGCTTGTTGATATATCAAGGTTCAGAGAGATGACTAGAAGGGATCCTATCAGTGAGCTCTGCTTTAGTGAAGATAACTAAAAACAGTTCTTTGTAAATGGTTTTCACAACAGCTGTTAAATGATCGTCATTTCACATTTTTAAAATAGATCAACCCTGAATACAAGTGGGTTATGGAAAATGAACATTGGCAGAATGTGATCAATTTACTGTGGAGACACTAACTAGACTCAGCTAAACGCCTTCTAGGCATGAGCTCCAGAGGAGACTGCTGCATCCAGTAAGCCGGGAACTAAGGAATAATACGATTCCTTTAATTAGAAACCTATATTGGTCTAGGAAAATGTACACAGGGAAAGAGAAGCAAAGACAAAGGAGATATCAAACTTCAGACACACAGATCTGGAGATCAATAACTGCAACGTGGTCCCTGAATTGCAATTAATTCTGTAAAGAGAAAACATCCCTTGTGGATAAGTAGGGCTGGGGTGAGCGCTCCTGCTTCCTAGAGAAGCACTTGAAGCTAAACTCGGGAATGGGTTGCCAGTCAAAATCTCAGGAAGAAATCAGATGTCAATTAATGTCGCAGGAGTGAAGCCCCAGGAAAAGGCAATTCCATCAAGCTACTAGAGATGACTGGCCAAAGCTGGACCAGGCTAGTAGCCAAAAGCAGGGGCAGTGACCTGGCAGCCAGAACTTTGGCTCCCGTAGAGAGAGTAACGTCTGTGAAAGGTGGTTGTTTGCAGTGGCTGCCTACCACTTTCAAAAGCCTTCACACTACCCCCTTAACTTTGCTTTAAAGTAATTCCCCCTGAAAGTGAACAATCTTAAAAATTATATGCCCTTACCACCTCCCTCCACACATGCATAACATGCATCTAAGACACACAAAAGTTATCCTTTTAGAGATTATAGCCAAGGCAATCTTGAGATAAAGTACAGAGCCATCATATGCAATACGCGTTTGCATAATAAATGCATAAATGGGTGGAAATAGAACCATGAACTTGCTGCTGCTGCTGTGTGTGTGTGTGCATGTGCGTGTGTGTGTGTGTTTCCCAAAACACCTTAGTGAAGCAATGTCCTAAGACCTATCAAAACCAGAAGGGCCTGCAAGAGCCACCTTTAGTTGTGGGAATATTTGAAGTTTGGGATAAACAAGCTTACATTTCTTGAATAAATCTAAAAAAAAGACAAATGTTCAAAGAAATTCTCAAGTTTAAATTCATTTGCAGTTATAGTGAACCACCCCCTAATTTGAAAACAAAATATTAATAATAACAATAACAATTAAACACTGATAATAACAGCAGTTATTAAATTCTTATTTTGTACAAAGTACTGTATGATGCACTTAACAGACATTTTCTTGGTTCATACCACAGTCCTACAAGGTAGTTATTATTATAACCCCTTTCTACTGATGAAATTGAGGTGCAGTTAGATTAAGTGACTCACACAATGTCACTTAAATTAATACATGATGAAGCTAGATTTTCCTCCCATTCAGTCTAATGCCAGAGCCCAAATGAACTGGGGACAAAATAAGACAAATGTTAGGAACATTGTCCTCATATTTCTACCCTCTGCAAGGTCAGGAGAGGCAGGAATTTTTTGGAAAAGTACGTTCTTCAGTGGCCTCTTCTCTTTTTAACTTCTTATGTGTGGAATAGATCTATTCATGCTCACTAAACCCACTGAACCTGCACCTGGAACATCTGGATGGGAATAAGCTATTGAACTGAGTAAACGCTCATTACTTCAGGGTCTACCATGTCATTTGGGATAAGTATCCATCATTTCTTCTTGTTTTTCAGAGTGAGGTTCATCTGTACAATCCAAAAAGGGATTTCTACAGAAAACCCACAGGAAACGGAATTCACCTCTCCCTAGCTACATACCTTGCAAGCTTTTGAGGGTGTTATAAGTTGGGGATGAAAAAACAAAGATGGAGCCCTCCATTCATAGTCACAATGAACTTTTCAATCAAACAAAACCCTAGATGTGTGCAATTCAATAGGAATTGCACAATTTATAATGGCTGTATGAATTCTGTAAAAGAAGACTACAAACTTTTCCTCTTTTCTGACTAAATCCTTATGTTTTCAATACCTTCAACCATTAGGGATAATGGATAAGAATAGGAAACAATGGAAATAAATTCTAAATTTAGGCTTAAGTGACTGCTTTGAAGCTCTCTTTAGAATTGAGGAGTTAATATCCCAGAAATATTTTAGTATGTGTTCAAATCAAAGTGTGTCCCCTGGATGAATTTTAGTTGCAGAAATTTGGACTAATGCCTCCTTCTGTTGAACGGGGAAGGTGAGGAATACTTCCCAGAAGCAGCCTCAAAAGATTACTCTATTTTGACCCTGAAATTTACGATGAATTGTTTTGCATTTTATCTTAATAAGAAAGAAAAATACCTTGAAGTTTATATTTCTTCCATATCCACCCACAGCAGGGACTCATAAATGCCTGCTAATGAAATTAAGGAGAACTATGTGTTCAGGCTCTATTAGCCCTAAGCACTGAAAAATAATTAAATTAAATACTTAATGAGAGAATGTTTTTAACTTGGTTCTAAAATGTTTAGGTTATGGGAACATTTTTGACCTTACTCTATCTCCTTCATTTGGACTGAAACTTTTGCATTATATTTGCACAATAAGTGTTTGATGATGATGAAAGCCAAATAGTCTTGAGTATTTCAACAACAGCAGGAACAGCAAAACACTCATGGTGCATGTTCCATTTTTTATTGTCAATGCCCGTGAACTATTATCCCGCAAAATCAGCAATGTGAACTGAGAAAACAATCTTTGTCTTTGTCTTATAGGCAGGAAACAATGACTGTTTGGGAGGTTTTGAATCCAGGATTTATTTTAGAACCATTAAAATATAACTTTATGTAAGTTTTCAAGTTGCATTGAATTTTATTGACCTTTCTGTAAAATTCAGATGAAAATGTTGAAGATTTTTCAAAAAATAAAGTCCTCTGCAACCAGATTTCAGCCTTTAATGTCAGTGGGATCACTACTTTCTTCAATCACTGTTCCCTATTATTTCACTTGTAATGAGAGTGAGGTCATTACCCATCAACAGCCCAGAGTGTAAATCTGGTGAGAAAAATTGTTTCGTTTGGCTTATTTCGTGTTTGAAAATTGAGATATTTTACTTAAAAATCTTTGTAAACACTCTAAAGAACTGAAAGATCTGGCTGGCTGGGCGCGGTGGCTCACGCCTGTAATACCAGCACTTTGGGAGGCCGAGGCGGGTGAATTACAAGGTCAGGAGATTGAGACCATCCTGGCTAATACAGTGAAACCCCATCTCCACTAAAAATACAAAAAATTAGCCGGGCATGGTGGCGGGCGCCTGTAGTCCCAGCTACTCGGGAGTCTGAGGCCTGAAGCAGGAGAATGGCGTGAACCCAGGAGGCGGAGCATGCAGTGAGCCGAGGTCACCCCGCTGCACTCCAGCCTGGGCGATTCCGTCCAAACAACAACAACAACAACAACAACAACAACAACAACCTGAAAGATCTGGAACAGTGGGTTCCTGGATGACAATAATTCGCTGGAAATGAGAAATAACTGAACTGAGAAGAGTAAGGTCTTCTGTTTTCCACAGTCCCTACATCTCCCTATTATCTTATCTTTGGGCCATTTTGCTCATTTACAATACATATTTGGGCCATTGTAGTCATTTGCATTTGGCCACTATGTACTTTTCTACTTTTCTGTCTTTATGTATGACACCCCTTTGGTCTTCCATTTTGTTTTCTGCTTTTATCCCCTCTCTAATAGATGCTTTTTCAGTCTTTTTGAAACATAATCTTATTTTTTTTTGTATCTTTGTATAAGGGATATTTATACCCTTTGCATTGAATTCATTTTGTCAACTGTCTTCATAAATTCAGCAAGCATTCAGGGAGCACGGGGCGTGCGTCAGGCATTCTGCCAAACATTGAGACTTCAGTGGTAGGTGAAACAAGTGCAATTGCCCCGCATGTATCTGGGATGTGTTCCCAGTATTATTTGATCACACCACTGTTAAAGCACTCTGATTAGGCTTGTAGATGTGAGAACAAATTGATGGATTCTAAGTCACTGAGTCTCTCGGTAACTGAAGTTTACTTTCAAATGGAGGACAGAACTGTAGTTCTCTTCCTCACTGGTGTTGGGTATGGCCATTGGACTTGTTTTGGGTACTAAAATGTGAGTGGTGCTGATGGGTGTCACTTTTAGGGCAAAACATTAAAAAGCAGTGAATCATTTACTGCACTCTCTATCTGCCCATAGTGACCAGCAAAACTGGTGGCCTCTCCAGCCTCTCCAAAAACCTAGATCCTACAATAGGATGATATAGAGTTGAGTCCCCCAATGACCCAGGATGGACATGAAGCTCTGAGTAAGAAACAAACCTTGTTATTTTGAGGTCTTGAGATTTAGTTTTCCATTGTGTATCCTAGCCTATCCAGACTGCTACAGTAAGTGCTTCTTTAAACTGTAGACAAAAAAAAAAAGAAAAAAAAACTAGTAAGATTAAAACAGTCATAATTCAAGAAATACATTTTATAATTTAGAATGATTAAACTTCTCATTTGCTGTGGTTACATTAATTGAAAACAGGTTTAAATACTAAGATTGCAGTTTCTTAAATTAACTATCATTCACAATGGTGTCTATTGATAAATTGAATCCTTTGACCTTTATGTAAATAGAAACATTTTCCTTTTTATAAAATCATTCGTCTATGTACTTAAATTTGAGAAATACTCTTATTGGTGCAAAGGTCTTTTATACCAACATTTAATTTTATTTTTGAGATAAATTTTAATGGAATATAAAGTACATGCAGAAAATGTCATAACTCATAAAAGCCAATAAATGTTTATAAAATGAGCCCAGCCTAGTTATTACCATCAATAATAATCATACAAAACTACCAGCATTCCCTCTCCTTAAAACTTCCCTTTTGCCACCTCTTCCAATCAATACCCTTCCTGCTCACTTCTACCCAGACTTCTAGCACCATAGATTAGTTCTGCTGATTTTTAAGCTTTATATAAATAGCATCACAGTGTATCTACTCTTTTGTGTTGAATTGATTTTGCTTAATTTTATCTTTGTAAGATTCATTCATCTTGCATTGTGTAGCTAGTGTTCCTTCATTCTCAATATTGTATTGTAGTCCATTGTGTGAGAGTGCCATAATTTATTTATTCCACTACTGATGGGCATTTAGACTGTTTACAGCTTTTTACTACTAAAAAATCATGTTGCTGGCTGGGTGTAGTGGTTCATGCCTGTAATCCTAGCACTTTGGGAGTCTGAGGTGGGAGGATGGTTTGAGGCCAGAAGTTCCAGGAGAGTCTGGGCAACATACTGAGACATCATCTCTACAAAAAAATTAAAAAAAAAAAAAAATAGCCAGGCCTGGTGAAGTGCGCCTGTAGTTCTAGCTACTCAAGAGGCTGAAGTAAGAGTATCGCTGGAGTACAGGTATTTGAGGGTTCAGTGAGCTGTGATCTTGTCACCGTACTCCAGCCTAAGTAACAGAGCAAGAACATTTCTAATAATAAATAAATAAGTATAATATAATAAAATAAGTAACATATAAATAAAAACGTGTTGCTCTGAACATTTTAGAAAATGTACATTTTGTACATGTCTTTTAGTGAACATATGAACATTCTTATGCGTATGTACATTTGAGCTTGGAGTAGAATTACTGGGTAACGGGATATAGAAGTTCAGCTGAAGAGGCTATTGATAAGCAGTTTTTCAAAGTGGTTATACTATATAATATTTCTACCAGAAGTGTGGAAGATTTCCAGTTACTGTAAATCCTCATCAACACTTGCTATTGTCTATTCCTTCATATTCTCCTTTCATCTCTTTCTTCCTTCTTTCCTTAGGCCCTTTCTTCTTCCTTTTCCCTTTCCTATTGTTTTGGGTAGGTTGTGATATATATACCTTTGTGTTAATTTCTCTGATTACTAGTGAATTTGAGCATTTATTTATGTATTTTCCCCATCTAAAAAATATTCCTTGCCTTTTTCTTATTGATTTGAAAGAGTTCTTTATATATTATGAATAAGTGTTCTTTGTTAGATATATACATTGCAAAGAACTAAAGAAAATATCATCAACCCCTTACTCAGATTGAAATCACCTTTGCAAAAATTATAACTGAGAAAATTGTAACAGTGAAAGAGATCTGACCTAATTGCCTCCATCTTGCTTCTCATCTCCACACTGTCCTTTCTCATTCCCTGGTGTAGGCTGAACTAACTTTGGAAGAAACTTGGAGTTCACAGTCTAACTTTGAAGCAAAAATGGTAACAAACTCCCCTCCTGCTGGAGGGCTAGGCTGCCTTGCAGAACTAACAAATTAGCCACCAGATTAGCAATTATGGTTTAGAAATCCTGCAGCTGGAGACTCCAAGATTCTGAACCTCCTCAAATTGCTCCTGGGGATAGTATCACTATCGTAAAACCTAAGAGCAGTGGTAGAGATATTTTCCAGACCCTGTACTCGATGGATCACCACCCAGATTGATAAACCGGCTCATCCGGTCTCACGGCCCCCGCCTAGGAACTGACTCAACACAAGAGGACAGCTTCGACTCCCTATAATTTCATCTCTGACCAGACCAATCAGCACTCCCCATTTTCCTACTCCCTATAAACCAAATTATCCTTAAAAACTCTGATCCCCAAGTTCTTGGGGAGATTAATGTGAGTAATAACCCCATCTCCCACATGGTGTGGCTGGCCTCACATCAATTAAACTCTTTCTTTACTGCAATGCTTGGTCTTAGTAAGTTGATTTTGTTTGTGCAGCAGGTAGGAAGAACCCATCAGGTGGTTACAAGATTCCCCCAATATTAACATAATGCTATATATGTGTGTGTGTGTGTGTATATATATATATATATATTTCTTCCTCCCTGCTTCATTTAGACAGATAGAGTTTTTTTATGATAGAGTGTTTAAGTTTTATTGTTGCCTAGTTTATCTTTTTTGTTTTTTCAATATGATTAGACCTTTTAGTGTCCTGTGTAAGAAAACTTTTTTCTGCTCCTGAAGTCATAGATATATTCTGCTAAGCTTTCTTCTGTTTCAGTTTGGAGGAAAATATATGCTGATCTTGTTGTTTCAATTCCCAGACATTTACCAGGTGGCAGTGTGGATATTAGGTAAACTTGTGGATAGAATTATAGACATATGTATTATTCCCTTCAGGGTTAAACATTTCTGTTTGATTTGATTATTCGGTCGTATGTTTTTTGTTTTGTTTTATTTTGTATATACTTTTTGCTCTTGTAGTAACACGTTGTTATTTTAGACTTACTAAAGTGATAAATTCCAAGATGCAACTTAGGGTTTAAAGAGAGGTATCATTAAAAATTTCAAACCATAGCAAAAATAATTATCCATTTAACCCAGCTCAGCATACTAAGTTTAAGGCTGGAGTCATGAATTTGCAAATTGATATTTTGCCTGTCTTTACCTTAGTTGTGCCTATAACTCTTGGAACAATGGGAAGGAATTTGGGCTAGATGACAGCAGTGTCTGTGTATTCCTAGATCCTATCAACCATGGACTCCTTATTAGCCTCTGGTCCTCAAATTCCCAAGGATATGTGTCTTATTGCTCCAGTGAAATTTCTGCTAAATGAAGAAAAATCAGTAAGGAAAACGAAAATAAAGATTGCTTGACTCACTGGAGAATAAACTTTATGGGGAACTAGAGTTGAATAAGAAAGAAAGTGAGTAAGAACATCATCTTTGGGGTATAATCATTTATTAATAAAGCACATGGAAATTAAATGAACTAGACTAAACAGTTTTTTCTTTCTACCATATCCCATGAAAAACTTTATTATCTTACACTGAGAGAAAGCCTTCCTGCAATATGCCCAAATATTTACTTTCACATTAGGAACATTTGAACCCTTTCGACATTTTCTACAAACCTCAGAGTATCCACTTAAACCCAACTGCTCCCTTCTCCCTTTTAATTTCTTCATGCTGTAATTTAACACTAGAGTTACTTTTCTGATGTATTTAGTATGAATAAATTACATTCTACAAATGTTTCAAACATTCAATAGGCTGTAGCCAGTCATCATTTATCTATGAGTACCCTTTAGAAAAGAACAAAATGATCTTCTTTTTTTTGATTTGTACAATTTAAATCTTAAAAATGTGAAGTTACGTAAGTGCAAGATGAAGGAGTTCTCTCATTGCAAATTTCTAATCCTCCTGCTAGGGGATTATAAACCCCCATACTGTTATACAGTTCTTCTGTATACCAGGGTCTTATAACCAACTGGAAGATTAAACATATTTTTTTCTCTCTTTATATATGTTTGAATCATGGGAGTCCATTAGAAAAATACAGCTTCATTGGAATTAGGAGAAAATATACCTTTGTTCAACATTTAAGATTGCATTTCCAATTCACATATAATTGCTTATACAATTTTCAGTCTCCCACAACCCAAATAAAAAAAGGTTTTATATTCTATAGCTGTGCATTTCAAAAGACAATGTCAAAACATTCAGTAGAACAGAACTCTCTTATCGCTCCCTGCAGACTCCGAGCACCAGTGTGGCATGGGGGAGAAAAGGGCTTAATTATAACAGTTGCTTATTACAGAAACCTAGGTGGTTGCCTCATGTGGCAAAGTTAACAGACATGAAAAATGTGGACCTCGTTTCTTTCTGTTTATTTTTCCAAGATGTTTGGGGAGAGCAGTTGCACCAGGGATCAGAGTCACCACCTTTAGGGCACCCCTTAGTGATCACTAAATTTACATTAAAATGAACTATAATAGGATTTAAACAGTCTACATCCTGTGTGCCCCTGTATTTAGTGGGTTATTTAGTAGACCTCAAGTTTTAGTTTAAATCAAGACATATGTGTGTGTTGGGGTGGAGAGAGAGCCATTTTTTTCCCCTGAGCCTGGGCTTTAATGAAAATAGGAGAAGAGAGGCGGCCCCTTCCCTTTTCTGTTGACTAAGGGAAAAAGTACGAGAAGGATCAGTGACTTTGTGTAATGAGGACCCGGATATTTGGCCATGGAAGTGGCCCTGCCACTTGGGCCTGTTCCAGTATCTACAATGCATTTAAAAAAAGAAAGAAAGAAAAATTTTTTAAAAGTTGGAATTTTCTCCCAGTGGTAGACCTGACTCAGGTTAAGCATACCTGTTTCTCAATTTTGATCAAGGGTACCTGGTTCTAGATATAGCTCTATCATAATGGTTCACAATCTGAGGCTTCAGCCAAGTCATTTCTCCTCTCTGGCCCCAATTCAATCATTATATTAAAATGGGAGGGAAGGATGATGGTTCATCTTCTGAGGTTCCTTCTGGCAGTGTGCCAGGTACTAACAGGTATCTAGAAAATGCTGGGGCCTTGCCTGATAACCAGGGGTGATGACTGAGACAGGGTAGTAGACCAGCCCATATCAACAACATGAGCCAGAGAAAATGCTGTGTGTACAGTGATGTCGCATGGGCTGGACTCATTCTTGGAGTTTAGTGTATTTCCGATTGTCTGTAAAGATATGCCTGGGAAAAGCAAACATTAGGAGACTGACTCCTCAATCTAGGGAAGGATTAAGGTGACCCATGACTGAAGCAGATTCAGGTTCAAAGAATGTTGTCTGTTAAAAGCACCCATTTCCACCCTTGAAGTGGTGTTGTAGTTCTTAAATCTGCTAACCTTATCAAGGTGGCCGAGATTAGCTGTCGGCAAGCTCATCACTTTTCTCCCCCTTATTTGGGGGAGTGCCTTATTTGGGCTCAACTAAAAGTGAGCCAATGATAGAGCCAGGCGCAGTGGCTCATGCCTGTAATCCCAGCACTTTGGGAGGCTGAGGCGGGCAGATCACCTGAGGCTGGGAGTTCGAGACCAGCCTGATCAACATGGAGAAACCCTGTCTCTACTAAAAATACAAAAATTAGCCTGGTGTGGTGGTGTGCACCTGTAATCCCTGCTACTCAGGAGGCTGAGGCAGTAGAATTGCTTGAACCCAGGAGACGGAGGTTGCAGTGAACCAAGATCATACCACTGAATTCCAGCCTGGACAACAGAGTGAGACCCTGTCTCAAAAATAAATAAATAAAAAATAAAAGTGAGCTGATGACTACAGTACCCCAGGTTCTCCATTGCCTATGTTTGATGTGTTAGTCAAATTATGCATCAAGCCAGCCAGTATAAAAAGCTTCCCCCACACTTTCTAAAATGCCAGCCCCACATGTAGCTGCACAATAATCTGAACTACTTTTTTTAAAAAGTTTAAAATGGTCAGGCACAGCAGCTCATATCTAGAATCCCAGCAATTTGGGTGGTAGAGGCAGGCAGATTGCTTGAGCTCAGGAGTTTGATACTACCCTGGGTAACATGGTGAAACCCCATCTCTACCAAAAATACAAAAATTAGCTGGGTGTGGTGGTGCACAGCTGTACTCCCAGCTACTTGAGAGGACCTCTTCAGCCTGGGAGATCAAGACTGCAGTGAGATGTGATCTCACCAGTGCTCTCCACAGAGCAAGACTCTGTCTCAAACAAACAAACAAACAAACAAAAGTTTACAAATTGAGGAAAATAGAAGAGAAGGACGGAATCTGGTGCAATAAAAGGAAAAGTTCTAAATCTGGATTTAAAAGATTAGCATGAAACCCCAGCATCTCTCCTTCTCCCACATTTCTGTCTCTCTTTCTCCTTCCTTTCATTCCCTAACGATCACTGTCATGCTTATTTTCACCTTATTTTATTTGCCACTTGTGCCAGGTGTTGTCATAGGCAAGATAAGGGCAAATTTTGAACAAGAGAGATATGTCTCTGCCCCCATATGACTTACCATTCAGTGATAGAGACAGAAAGCAGAGACCATTCAAAATGATTGCATACTATCTAAGATGACAGATGATCTCAGAGTGAAGTACAGGGTCTTAGAAAATGGACAGTGTGAAGGAGAACTATGGGATTCTTCAAATCCTTTTAACAAGACTTTATCTTTTCAGGGAGGTCAAGAAATCTCTGAGGAAGTGGGCATTTAAAGGGATACCCACTCTCTAAGGAGGAGCCAGCGTCAGCTCTCCAAGCTCATCAGAATCAGGGACATTTCAATTTACTTTAGGTTTTAATTCAATTTAGGTTGTCTCAATCACTTATGCGAATTTCTTTAGGTAGTCAGCACATATGCAACTGGTTATCGTTCCTGATGTAGTTGAAATTTTTGCTTTCTTCTCTCACTGGTAGTGAGTGAGGCTTTTACTTCTACAAAACACTTACATGCTCTGTCCTTTCCTAAATTCATGTCCAAAAGGAAGCTCATAACTCCCATGGCCCTTGTTATAATGTGAGGGTGCTTCTAGGCCTCAGAGGCAGGCATCAGGAAACAGAATCTCTCTTTCCGACACTCTCCTGTCCTCCTTCCACCAGCCCAAGGTAGGTCTCTAATCCAACTTTGGGTCAAAAGATGCTCATTCCAGAGAGGGTCTTGCCCCATATACTAGAGGAAGGAATGCTACACAGAGAGGCCAAGAAAATTCTGGCAGGCCTTGCTGGGTTTCGATCATATGATTTTTGTCCAGTGGCATTTCTATATGGTTGTTGACCATGCCTATATAATGAAGCCTACATAGAAACCTGAGAAGGTGGGGCTCAAGAGCTTCTAGATCGCTAAACACATGGAGGTTCCTGGAGGGTGATGCACCCAGGGAGGGCATGGAAGCTCTGTGCCCCTCTCCCCATACCATGCCCTAATCATTTCCTCATCTGTATCCTTTGTCGTATACTTTATAATAAATTGGTAAGTGTTCTGTGAGCCTCTCTAGCAAATTAATCAAACCCAAAGAGGGGGTTGTGGGAACCCCAACTTGAAGCCTGTCATACAGAAGTTCCAGAGACCTGGACTTGGAACTGGTGTCTCAACGGAGGGGGGGATGTCTTGAGACTGAGCCCTCAACCTGTGAGATCTGACACTCTCTCCAGGTAGACAATATGAGAATTGAACTGGAAGACACCCAGTTGGTGCCTACTGCATAAGTAACTGTGGTGGTGACAAGAACCCCTCCCCAAACCCCATTTTTTAACAGAAGTCATCTGTATTGATTATTTTTATGTTGGTGTGGCAGTGAGGGAATAGCACAGTTTGAGTTTTTTTTTTTTCTAAACAGAAATGTAGTCAGTATTTTAAATACACAATTTTGTTTAATGTTTGCACAGCCATGTAAGATATTTACTATCGTTTTCCTGTTTTGCAGATGACAATACTGTTACAAAATGATGAAGTTACTTGTTCAGAAGCTAGTAAAATATTGAACCTGGATTTTGCAACCAGAAATGTTTGAAGCTGACATCTACATATTTTATTTAATTCATTGCATATTTCTTCATTTTTATCAGCTTTTGTTTTTTTCTGAAGCTCAAGAAGGGGAAATTGACTTGCCTTATGTGGCAGGACTTTGTGAGAATAGTGTCCTCATGCCTCCAATATTCAGTAATCGTGTATGGAAATAAATAAATACAATTTAAGATGTAAATTTTCTTTCTCTGTCTTTCTCTGTGTGTGTGTGTGTGTGTGTGTATATGTGTGTGTGTCTGTCTCATCTAGGTAAATAGATATATAGATGATGTTTAGGCTATAATTAAGACGTTAAGGTAAATATTTAAGCTATATTTATATTTATCATTTGGATAAGTTTACAGATAGATTTAATGATGTATTTTATGCATGTATATTTTTTATTTTATGTAGTTCACTTGATCATTTTATTTTCCTTCATAGTTGGAGCTTTGTTTTCGAGATTGAAATCCAGTCTCCAGTGCATTCTAGCTGTGTGACTTTTGGCAAACGGCTTAAAATCTCTATCCCCTTTTTCCCATATGTAAATGGAGTTAGTTACATCATGTGTCTACTATGTGGTAAGCAGTTGATGAGATGTACATAAAATAGCCTCTTCTGTGGTCAGCAGACAGAGAGTAGACATCAATAAATGTGAAATTAAGTTATGGTGAACTCATAAGGCAGGCTTGAATGGAAAAAGAATATGCAAGGAGAGTCTGAGGAGGAAGTGTGGATGGAGGGCGGTGGTGAAGAGAAGGCATAACACATTTTTTTTTTTTAACCAGCTGCTCTGTATTTTTTAGTGTGTCTTCCCAAGCTGGAGGAATTGCAGGAACTCTAACAACATAAGACCTTCCCCCAAATTATGAGCAGATTTCCTTGCAGTTTAGTAGGCTGACAATGATTGATCATCTCTGACATCTGTTCTTTCTCTGATTCTCTAAACCAATTTATCTGTACTGCTCTTCCAAAATGTAACTCTTCCAACCTTTGTGACTAGGTGGATGCTTCCCTAAGAAAACATTAAGTTCCTTAAAGACAGGGTCAGTGTAATCACTTTGTCCCCTCACCGCCCTGAGCATAGGGTTATGCTTTCCCACAGAGGAGGTGACTAATAAATGCTGGCTAACTGAATACACAGTAATTTTTTTAATTACCTTTTTTTTTTCTCTTCCTCTGCCTTTGGCTTAGAGTTACCATCACACTCTTCTTTTTTTCTGCAATTCAACTTTCTTTGCGCCACAGCACCATGACATTGTTTATAGAGTATATATCCAGGTTTTCAGTCATTCAGCTGGCCATGATATGAGCCTTGTGATAACCTTTTGTCTGGTTTACACTTTGTCACAAATTGACTTGCACGGCCTTTGATAAGCTACTGCTCCTCTCTGAAATCACAGCTTTCTCATCTGCAAAATGAGATAGCATACTTGCTACTTTTTAAGATCATTCATTGTCTAAATTCTATGACTTTGGGCCGATCACCTTTATCTCAGAAGTAAGTAGGCTCTGAAATAAATAATTTATGAGGACACAAGTGTTCTGCTGAAGAGGTGATGCTTAGAGATTCCTATGAGACAGATCACAAGGCATGAGGTCTCACGGCAACTTTCTGAATTTCTCCATGTCTGGATCTTGCCTGGCTCTTGTGGTTACAGCCCTCTTTCCAAAGACAATAGCAAAACCTCAGTGAGTGCTGTCATATGCCAGACAACCTCCTCGCTAGCCTTATAAAAATAATAATAAAAAAAATTCTTGGATACGTTCTAAGTGGTGAGATACCCATACTATGTAGACACTTCATTTTATCTGGAAAACAAAAGTTTAAAATGAGAACAAAATGTATTTCTGACCATACTCATTCCATTCTTCACTTCTTATGCCACTAAATTCAACAAAGAGAATAATGGGTTAGCTAGGAGCAAAAAATAATCTCTGATCATTGGAAATTTTGGCATACTTGGTTCCAGCTCAGTCACTGAGTTAATGTGATATTTTAAATGATTTGCTTAACATTTTTTGACTCAGCTTTCTTTCTGTAAAATGGGCATAATGACGCTTTATTTTGTTCCTGAGGACAGTGTTACATAGGACCACTGGAGAGAAGGGATCTGACTCTGAATTCTGTCTTTATCTCTTGCTCTCCATGTACTCAGGACTAATCACTTAATTTTTCTGAACCTTCTAAAATGGTGACCTCCATCTCATTGGATTGTTGTGAGAATTAAAAAGAAACAAACAAACAAACAAACAAAACCTGTAGTTTAGTTTTGACCACTGGGCAGGTGTTCAACAAATAGTAGTGTTTTAAAATTTTTTTTATTTTTATTTTTTTTGAGATGGAGTCTCGTTCTGCTGCCCAGGATGGAGTGCAGTGGCACTATCTTGGCTCACTGCAACTTCCGCCTCCTGGGTTCAAGCGATTCTTCTGCCTCAGCTTTCCGTGTAGCTGGGACTACAGGTGCGTGCCACCATGCCCAGCTGATTTTTGTATTTTTAGTAGAAACTGGGTTTCACCACATTGGCCAGGCTGGTCTCAAACTCCTGAACTCGTGATACGCCCACCTTGGCCTCCCAATGTGCTGGGATTACAGGCGTGAGCCACCGCACCCCGCCCAAATGGTAGTATTAATTGATACACAGAGATCATGCCCAGCCTGAAAGACTATATTTTCCTATTGTTAAACCTAAGATATGGAGGAAGATGACCGTTGCTTTAGAAAGCAGGAGGAAGGACGCATGATGTGGTCCCGTTGCTTCTTTTTTTGAGATCTAGAAGAAGACATAAAATAGAGAAAAACATGGGGCTGGATCCTAACTACTTTTGCCACCTTTTGACAATTATTTCCTATTCTCTTGGCTTTTTTAAATTGTAATTTATGGAGTTCCAACTAGGTGACTGCCCATGTTTCCTTAGGCTCTGCAATGTTAGGGGTGAAAGATGGAGCTTTTCTTTTTTCCCCAGGAGCAGTCAGTCGGGATTTGATGCTTTCAAGATTCAAGTAAATTGTAGCTATGCCCTGGAGGTATAATAGGGAAATATATGTGTGTTAAATCCATTGTACAGTAGGGAAACCTTAGTTTCAAGGATACCAGCAGCAATACTCTATTTGTAATTTTAGTAGTTCATGTAATTTTTTGGCGAGTATATTCACTAAGCCTCAGGAATATTTATGCCATTCTTTATTCTACTCAAAGACCAAAAGACTTAGGCTCTCAAAACTACATATGCATTTTTTTTGCACTCGAGTTTGATAAACAACAGGGTATGCTAATAATAATAATTATGAGAATTTTTTTATGATAAAAGTATATCTATGCCAAATTCTCTAGGCACCTAAGAATGCCAAACTGAATATATTGCCTAATAAAAGGGCAGCCCAGCTCTATAAATCTGAAGCATAGTGAAGAAAAATTCTCCATAACCACCACCAACTGCATAATAAATAAAGCAACTATTCACCCATGTAAAACAAAGTAAAGAAAGAGCTTTAAAAAGCACCAGCACTTTGTATCCAAGGACTTTAAAGTAGAGGCTGAAAACCTAGAAAGATACTATACATTGAAATGGTCTACCAGGTATTCAAAAGTTAAACGAAACCTCTCCTTAGGTACTGGTTAAACCAACCAGCTATTGGCATTCTAGCAGCTGAATTAGTTAGAATAGGATATATGTGCTGCAGTAACACAAACACCCAAAATTTCAGTGGCTGAACATGTCAGATTTAATTTCATACTAATGTTAACTTACACGTAGATTTGGGGCTCCTGGTGTTCCATCCTGTGCAGGATGGAGGTTTAACACTCTCATCCATCATCAATTGGGACATCTAAGCTGGGCCTTGGCTGCTTCATTTCAGCAACTCTGGAATGGTGGTGCTCTTCACTTCCAGCCATGAAAATAATGGAAAACGTCTGAGAGACCATAAAGAAATTACATCCTTTTCTAACTACCTTGGGCCAAGAATAATTCATACCAATTTTGCTCATAGCCCATTGGCCAGACTAGCCACATGACCTTAACTCTACTATGAAAGAGACTGAAAGAAAGAGTGCTGCATGGTGAACAATACTGTTTTGCTACAGCAGATCTGTTTTTATGCATCAGGGTAGGCATCCTAGCCAACTTGGACTGCTGTAACAAAAATATTATTGACCAAATGGCTTAAAAACAACAGAAATACATTTCTCACAGTTTTGGAGGCTGGATGTCCAACATCAGGGTTCCAGCCCGCTCAGGTTCTAGTGAGGGTCCTCTTCCAGATGCAGACTGTAGCTTTCTCATTGGATTCTCACTAGTCTGACAGCAGAGAGAGGGAAGCAAGCTCAATTCTGACTCTTATAAGACTAATCCCATTCATGAAGACTCCACCTTCATGATCTCAACTAATCCTAATTACCTCCCAAAATCCAACTCCCTAATAGCATCACATGGATGGGCAAAGTTTCAACAAATGAATCCAGGAGGACATCAAAAACATTGATTCCAGAACAGTGGGTCTTGCCCATTTCTCTTTCCTTGCTATGTCACCTTGAAAAGCTCACATGCCTTCTTGGACTACAGTATATTAAAGAGTGGACATAATAAAACAGCATTTGCAAAGTGATAGATTTGATGTCAAAAATCAAGTGGAATGGTGAACATAAAAGTATTGAGGCTACCATATGGCAGAATCCAAACGTGAGTTTATATGTGAATTCACATGAAAACGTGCACCCTGGTGCCAGGGTACTGTTGTTGAAATTCTGACACAGATACTTATTCAAGCCACTTTCTTCAAGTTACTTAGTTTTTGTAATTTTCAGATTTCCGTTACTTAAATGGAATAATGAAGTTTGTCCAAAAACCATCAGGGGTAAGTTATGCATTTCTCTTTAGATGATAGATGTAGAAATGTGGTAAAAATCCTTACACACTTAATAAGTGTAATGCAATGATAGATAGAGTTAAGAGTCTTAGGCTACTAAAGATCCTCTTGAAGTCAGATAGAATGCCTTTAGCAGCAAGTAACAGATGACCTTACTCAAAATAGACTGAACCAATAAGGAAATTCATTATCTTCTATAACATCAAGTCCAGAGGTAGGATAATGTGACAGATCTTTAATGACTCATATTTGTATGATGCCTCCACATTGACATTCTTTGTGCTAACTTCATGTTCAACCCAGGAACAAGGACTTTGTAGCAGTTCCAGGTGTTATGCCCAGACAAAAAAGTGAAGAGGAAGAAGAAGGATCATTACTTATTGGTACTCTTCATCATGAAGAATTGTTTCCCAGAATTCCTGCCCTGTTTCTTTTTCTCAAAAGAAATCTTCTCAAAATTTATTTGCCAGAATTAGGTCATGTGCCCATTATCAAATCTATCACTGGCAGAGGGAATGGGGTCACCACAATTGGCTTGGACTAAACCTGTCACACGGAGTTTAGCTGCATTTCCTTCTTTTATAAAAAAGGTTTTCTTTGTGTGTGTTTTTTTTATTTGTTTGTTTGTTTGTTTTTTATTAGCATCTGTGTATTTTTTGGAATCTAATCAAGAAACTTACCTTTGCTATGGCTATTAGGGGGTCCACCTGACCCCAAAGTGAGAATCATGGGCAGACTGAAGTAGTCTGGCCACTGGATTTTGTGAAAAGACAAGAATATTTTAGGCAGACATATTTAGATTCAAATTCTGACTCAGTCACTAGTGACATGAGCTTTGCTTACACCTCTTATGCTTCAGTTTCCTCTTCTATGAAACCTACCTCACGAGTCTTTTTGTATGACAAAGTTAAATAATGCAGCATGCCTGGCACATAGTAGGCACTTACATACATGTTATTATTGGTAATAATATTAATATTAATATAATCAAAAACTAGAAGAAAGACCGTTTGTTGTATCTTATCCAATATCATTTTTCGCCTGGTCATGTTAAGTGTATATTACCCTGTTTCCTTTCCAACAAACCCTGTGTCAATATAGATAGTTCTCATGTTTTATGCAAATGTAGCTTGAAAAATATGTCTGTCCTCAATGTTCAAAAACAGGGGCATAGTTAATTAAATTGGGGTAAGACTGCATGGTGAAAATTTAAACGTTAGTGATGATGTTTATGTAGCATTTTTAGTAACATGGGGAATTATTTATGTTATAATATTAAAAATGTGTTTCCAAAATATATACATAATATGATCTCAGCTATGGAAAAGAAAAACATTCAGTGGAAAAAAGCTTAAAGGGAAGAGCACCAAATTCAATAAAATTTGCATCTCATTGGATAAATTATGTGTGATTTTTTTCTTCTTTCATTCTGTATTATCCTGATTACATTTTTCAGTGTGTAGTAGCTATAAAATTAAATGAAACTTTATTGAAAATAGAAATATAAATATGGACATATAGATAGATACATAGATCTTATCAGTTATTGAGCTTCTACCACACAAACATAGCTTTGTGTTAAACTCACTGTATAGGCATTGCCTCATGAATTTTGTGCTAATGTCCCAGGAGGTTGACACCATTATTTCTATTATTATTTCCATATGATGACATTGGGTCTTAACAGAGGTAAGCAAATTACCAAGATCGCCCATTCATATGAGGGAGCTGGGTTTAGAGGTGCTAGCCCCCAGCACCTGTGATTTGGACCACTTCAAATACCTCTCCCATTATAAAGCAGAGACTCTAAGATAGGGAATCTTCTATAGGTGATTTAAATATACAACCAGGCGACCTGAAAGACATTATTCAGCGCAGAGATTCTTTGATTTCATGAGAGAGTAAAGTGGAATGCATGGTTTGGATCTGTGAGTGTCCAGCAGAAATTGATGTGCAAGTAAGTGAGAAATGCATGGTTTTGGTACAGGTGAAATAAGGAAGAGCAAGATGAAAGTCATAGGAAGCAGAAAGTGACATTTCTATTTTCCTGATTATATTACTGTATATGCATATGTAGACATTGAGTATTTCTGGTAGAGACTGTTGTATACTGGACTTCCCAGTATATAGCTTTCATTTCACACAACACTGTGGCATGAAGACATTTGCCTTTCAGGGTGTGAAACAATGCTTGGCAAGTAAGAGTGGAAGCTGCTTTGTCTTGGAATGGGAGACACATGTAGTTTGTTTAAAAGTCAAATCATTAAGTATATAAATTAAGCTGAAACAGCTAACATAGGCATATGATTCACCAGCGCTGGCTATATCAAGATAAGATTTGTGCTGGCATTTTTATGACCATAGCGACTCCAGCAAGGATTCTATAGTGGTGAGATAAGTTGAAAGAAGTTACTTGAGTTAAATTCCATAGTCATGGTTAAATCTGATCCTCCACATTTTAATGATTTCCTTGATGTTCACCAATATGATGATTTGACTGTGAAAAATTGTTCCTTGAATTTGGTTAGACCTTGACTATGTGAGTTGGAAAGAGAGCAGTCCCACAAAAACAAAGAAAGCAACGAACAAAAACCCATACCGTTTGCGCTACTGTCTGTGAATTTTGTCCATGTCATGTTGAAAAAATACAAATGGAAAGACCGTGTTTGTTGCTAATGGCTATTCCTAGATGACTTAAAATGGACAGAGCTCAGTGTCTTCAATGTCATTGTGCAACAGATTATTTTTAAATGTCAATATCAATCTATACATGCTTCCTGAACTGAAATATGATTTGGGAATGGAATTGGATATGACCTCCACACAGTGAAATCTACCAGATCATGATATGGCAATAAAATATTGATAGCACTTGCAAATTGATCATTGGAGAGGTGCTTGGGAAGTGTAAGAATAATATTATATTTATATTATAATTATAATATGATATTTGATGTTTCTATATGCTCAGCATCCAATACCTTTTCTTCTAGTAAGAGTACCCTGAATCTGGAGACATCTTTAGTCTTTCTGGGTTTGGTGAAGCTGACTCCAAGTTTAGTGTCAGGAGTTGAGTATGCCACCAGGCTTGGCCAACCAGGCATCAGAGTTTTATTTAGGGACAGTGAGATAGCCCAGACTGAGCCATTCTGAGCCATTGAGTCTCCAAGGATAAACTCTACCTTTTTTTTCTTAATTTTAGAGGAAGATATAATTTTCTGCTAAACTTAAAAATCAGAGGATGTATATCTACAGCTACTAGGTGGTGGGGAGACAAAAATATGTAGAAAATATTTTTATACTGAAAACAAAAATATGGAGAAGAACAGAGTGTAAAAATGATGAATAAAAGCCATATCTTAAATACATGGAAGAGCCCCTAGATCCAGCCAAGTCTGAAATCATACTCACATCTGGACTTTTCAATTACATGAGCTCATAAAGTTATTTATTCTTTTTTTATGCAAGCTAGAATTGGGTTCTTTTCATCGAAGCATAAGAATATGCACTAGTAAAAAGTTATATATATATGTTATATATATAGTTATATATATAGTTTTATATATGCGTTATTTATAGTTATATACAGTTTTATATATATATATGAGTAGGAGTGGTGTGGGGGAAGGTTTTGCTATAGTCAAAACATTGATAATATAACAAAATAGTATTGTAAGTTGTACACTTAAAAAAACAAAATAGCTTCTCAATGTTTTACTGTCAAATGGAATGACTTGTTAGAATTAATAAAACTAACAAGCATCACTTGCAGCAGGTTATAGAATACATCAAGATTTGCTCCTTGTGCTTGGTTATTCAACTTGATGAGACAACGACAGCTGATCACTGCATTCAGCTGTCAGTGTTTGTGTACTTTATACAAGAGAAAGTGATCAAAGACAAAGGCTTGTGTTATGAACCATTGCATCCAAAAAGAAAAGACAATGATATGTTCAAGCTTATCAAAGACTTCTGCTAAAAGCATAAAAACACATTGTCACATATGGATGGATCTACACCAATGCTGCCCTTGCTAAGCTTGGATAAATCCCAGAATTGCTTTCTAAGAAAGAAGTACCTCACAGCTTCATTACAGATTGTGTGTTTCACAGTCATGAAAAGGCTGCAAAACCCATTCATCCTAATCAAAGGATGCCTTGCTTACCACAGTGAACGTAGTCAACTTCAGGGGAGCACATTTTCTCAGTTATCATTGATTCTATTTCTTTTGTTAATAAATTGATAGAGAGCATTGCTTTTCTATTGTGTATTTAATGTAGCTAGATAATTACTCATATGTATTCTTCAAATGTGCAACATGAAAATCTCTTTCTTTATAGCTGAAACAATGGTTTATTTGATGATTTGGAAACAAGCATGCATAGCATATACACTCAAATACTTAAATATATCAAATTTATATTAGATAAAACCAGGATAAACCTAACAATAGCCAGAGTGAAGTTATTTCACATTATTAAGAAACTCTAAGTGGGTTAAAGGGGCTGGATAACGTAATTATTTGATTACTGGTTTATTTTTTTCCCTGAAAGACAGAGTTGTTGTAGAAAACGTAGGAACAACTTTCACATGTGAAGTGACAAAGCATTTGCAACATTTGCATTCAAGTTAATTACTGCTATGTAAGTACTTACTACTGCTATTTTGTTATAGGTTTTCTGGATATTTTGTAGATCCTTTTCTTTCTTTATAATTAGGTGATCTTCTCTAGTAAGTTCTCTAGTATAATGCCTTAATTCCTTCCTTTTATTTTCTTGTATCTACTATAAGTTTTTGTTTTGTAGTTATCATGAGACTTACATAAAACATCTTGTAGATATGACAGGCCATTTTGAGTTGATAACTACTTACATTTAATTGCATTAAAAAAACCCAAGATTTTTACTTCACCTTCCCTAACGTTTTATGTTTTTGATTTCACAATTTACAGTTTTTTACATTGTATATTTCTTTAAAGTTACAGTAGCTATTATTAGTAGTAATAGTTTTGTCTCCTAACATATTATCTTAAATATATTTGACTTACACAGTACTATTACAGTATTAGAACATTTTGAATTTGTCTGTGTACTTTTACCAGGTAGCTTTATTCTTTTACGTTTTCATGTTACTATTTAGTGCCCTTTTCTTTCAACTGGGAGAACTCTCTTCAACATTTCTTATAAGACAGGTCTGGTGGTGATGAACTCCTTCAGCTTTTGTTTGTCTGAGAAATTCTCTTTTTGTTTCAGAAGGACAGCATTTTCCACTTATAATATTCTTGATAGGCTTTTTTTTTTTTCCTTTGACAATTGAATCTATTACCCAATTTTCTCCTGGCCTATAAGGCTTCATCTGAGACATGAAACCTATAAGGTTTCACTTCTAACCAAGGCTAGTTTCTGCTAGCCTTGTTGTAACTCCTTTATATGTGACATGCTCCATTTCTCTTCTTTAATACAGAATACTTATTGTCTTTGATTTTTGACAGTTTGATTATATATCTTGGTACAGCCTTGTTTGGGTTAAATCTTATTGGAGACCTTTGACCTTCCTGTCATCTCCACGTTTGGAAAGTGTTCTGTTATTATTTCTTTAAGTTTTATTGTTTTTTGTCTCTTTTTTCTTCTTTCAAGCTCTTATAATGCAAACATTGGCTCTTTCCATTTTTCCATAAATCCCATAAGCTTTCTTCACTCTTTTTCATTCTATTTTTTCCTTCTTCTCTATGTATTTTCAAATAACTTATCTTTGAGTTCACAGATTCTTCCTTCTGCTTGATCAATTCTGCTGTTGACAATCTCTGTCACATTTTTCATTTCCTTTATTGTATTTTTCATCTGCAAAATGTGTTTGATTTTTTAAAGTAATCTCAATCTGTTAAATTTATTAATTTGATTATTGTTTTCTTGACTTTGTTGTTTCTCTGTATTTTATTGAGTTTTGCTGAGCTTTCTTAGAAACAGTTAGTTTGAATTATTTGTCAGACAGCTCGTAAATCCCCATTTCTTTAGGGGTGGCTTTAGTGCTCTGTTATTCCTTTGTTGGCGTTATGTTTCTCTGATTGTTCTGATCATTGTGGCTGTGCATTGGTGTCTAAACATTTGAAAAAGTAGGGATTTATTTCAATCTCTGGGGACTGGCTTATTTTCTGGGGAATCCTAAAAATGGTCTGCCTGTCCAGAAATTCTGGGAGAGGCTTGCTGTTAGAGTCCTTGGGTAGACTGGTCTAGTGCCTGGGTCAGTGAGTATGTGAGCTGGGTTTGTGGGGTTAGACCTGGAGCCTGAATTCACCGAGCTAGACCTGTTGATTTGATCTATAGAGATGGCACTGGAGCCTGGGTCTGTGAGGGCAGGCCTGGAGCCTGTGTCTACTGAGACAACCCTAAAGCCTGGGGTCATAGGAGCTGAAATGACACTGGGTGGGTCCTTGAGCCTAAGTATGCAGGAGCTGGCTAGGTACTGGGATGGGCCTGGAGACTAGCTCCACTGGAGTGGGCTTTGAGGCTGGGTATTAAGGGGTGGGCCTGGGTTTCTGGGTCCAAAGGAGCTAGCCTAGAGCCTGAGTCTGCAGATGTAATCCTGGAACTTCAGTCTGTGGAGGCCAGCCTGGCAACAGGGTCCACAGGGCTGGGTCTAGACCTTAGTTCTGTCAGAGCAGGACTAGATCCTGGATATACCAGAGCCTGGGACTGGCATGAAGCTTGGGACTGGCCTAGTGCTGGAACAGACATGGAACTTGAGTCCACCAGTGCTGATCTAGAATCTGAGATCACAGGTGCTGTCCTGGAGTTTAAAGCCACAGGAGCTAAAATAATGCCTGAGTTTGTGGGGGCCAGCCTGGAGTCTAGGTCAGTTAAAGCTGGTCTAGGTTCTGGGGCAATGAGATCCAGTCTGGAGCCTAAGTCCTTGGAGGCGGGCCCAGTGCTAGGGTCTACTGGGGTAAGCCTGGTCCCTGGGTAGGGTGGAACAGGTCAAAATCCTAGGTCTGCTTGAGCAGGAGCCAGAGGGGCCGTTCAGGAGGGTGGAGCCACAAGGACCAGCCTGGCGGTGGGCAGGCCTGAAACCTGTGTCTGCAGATGCTGACCTGGTACCAGAGGTCTTAGGTGCTAACCTAGTGCCGGAGTGGGCCTGAAGGTCAATGTTGTGTGGGTTGACTTGGTTCTGGGCTGTTCTGGAACCTCAAATGAGCTTGGAACCTGGAGTTGCAGGGCCTGGCCTGGTGCTGGGGTTGCCCTGAAGCCTGGGACCATGGGGATCAGCTTAGCATGAGAGTGGCCCTAGAGATAGCCTGTGGGGTAGGCCTCATGCTGGGGCAGCCTGAAGCCTTGGGTCACTTGGCTGAACCAGAACTGGGGCTGATCTGTAGCCCAGGGCCAATGGTTCACTGAACTGGCCTGGAGCCTGTGGCTGTAGGATCTCACGTGGCATCTGAATGCACCTGGAAGCTCAGCCTGCAGGTACTGGACTGGAGTGTGGGGCCCTGGGAGCCTACCAGTGCCATGTTATACTGGGAAAGGCTCAGTTTTGGGGTCTGAGGCAAAGTCTAGGGTTCACATACTTCCCCTTCTCCCATTCAGAGGTATCTCTCTCCACACTGTACTGCCTGGGGGAGGACTGACATGGGTGATGTACATGAGCCTTTGTATTGTTGGCACATGATCTGTCAGATAGTGGCTTTGTGAATGGTGCTAAGAGTAAAGTAATGTCCAAAATGAGGGAGATGAAACTTTTACTTTGGGGAACAGTGGCCATTCTACTCCTGGCATGTTGGTTTTCACTCTGGGTACCCATCTGGTTCATTGCCCTCTCCTGCTTCCTACTCTCCTCAATGAATCTTTTCATATTTCTGTGCTACATTCATGTGCTGCAATCTATCACCGGGTTTCCTTATAATTTATGAAGATAGTTTTGTGCATGGACAGTTGTTCAAATTGATGTTTGTGTAGGGATATGAGCACAGAAGAATTCTATTCTGCCATTTTGCTGACATTCAGCCTAAAGTTATATTTATTTGCAATATTATAATTATCCTTCCCATGGATGTTTTTCACCCTGGTGATCTTAGTGTAGAAAAAAAATTGAGGGTTGGAATCTTTCCTGATAAGGATGTGACAGGAGAAGCACATTAAATGCAAGCTTTTACATGGTTGTGTCTCAAATATTAGCATCTAGTACAGTGCCTGACACAATGCAAGAGCTCAGCAATATTTTGTGATAGAAAGGATGAAGGAAGAGCCAGTTTTTACAAATGAAGAAAATTATATTCAAGTTGGAGAATGTCTGATGTGCTCAAGTTTCATCCTTTGTCACAATTGTAAAGACAGAGCTGCAGACCTAGGTGCCAGACAGAATTATTGTCACTTTGCACATTAAGCAAAGACCTGGAACCACTTATGTGTGAGTGATGACACACACAAGTCTATTTCAACAAAGGTGTCTCATTTTTCCAAAGTCATATACAAAATTTCTAACAGAGGAGTGATTGACCTCGCAAAATATGTTAATAAAAAATAAAGAAGAAACATTGAGTTTGAAAATGTTGAATGTATTCTAAGAACTACTTTGAAAATAAAAATATAGTAAAACCTTTCTTGCACATTTATGCTCTATCTATAATTTTAATAACTAATCCCTCCAGTGGTTTTAAATCAGAGGCATAAGGACACCTTTTAAGAACAAATGGCAGGAGTGTGGAGAAGGCTGCAGAGAGGTTAAGCATCACTGATGTATAGCAAGTGAGCACAGTGGTACCAAATGCACAGAAACTGTCAGAAAGTAGAGACAGACCACTCTTAGTTTATGTTGTACAATCCTCTTGCATCAACCTCTGACCTTGCAGAGCCAAATGGAAGGAGACAGAAGACTCCACATTTAGCCTGTGCTCTGATCATTGCCCTTTCCTTCTTGCCCTGCCAAGTCCTCTGTTAACCCTGGGTTGTCATTCTCAGGGCTCCTGCAGAGCAAGTCACAGGGTTCCAAATCTACCTGCCTCTTAATGAGGAATCCAGGCAGTATTCTGGGCTGGCCATCTACATTTGAGAATGAAGCTCTCAGAGCAGGAGAACCCAAGTCAGGATAGAGGAAGCATGCACTTGCAGAAAGAAAAAAAAATCAAGTGTTTGTTAAATCCAGCCTCATCGTTTATTCTTAGACCAATAGACAGATAGATATAACACCAGTGCAGGAGTTCCCCAAAATAAAGACAAACAACCACTCTTAGGATGACCTTGATTTAATCTTCTGAGCAAGGCATAGCTGGAAGAGAAATTTTATTTGCATTGGTAGCTTTTCTCCAACCTCCTCATGGGCAACACAAAGGTTAACCCTAATTCACAGGACATGAAAACATCCTGCAAGCACACAACAAGGTTACATTGCCGCCTCCGAAGTTCAGCTCTTTCCCCCATGAGGCCTTGGGAGCTACTCCTCTGGCCTCCAAGATGCCAGTGTACAAAACACATGTCTTTCTGTCCCACTATTAATTGTATATGGTATTTCTCTTTCCCACGGCAAACCTCCTATTTTAAATTATTCCCTTGAAGTATAAATTATTGTTGGCTCATGATTGGTCAAATAATGGGTTTGTGAATGGTGCTAAGAGAAACAGAATGCCTAAAGTGAGAGAAATGAGGCTTCTACTCTGGGGAACGATGGCCATTCCACACCTGGAGTGTTGGCTTTTGTTCTGGGTACCACTCTAAATGAACTTTGACAAGTGAATTGTGTTCAGAGGGAATTGGCAAGAATGAGGAAGGAATTAAAATTGTGCTACTTATCTTTGTATAGTGGAGGAACTGGAGCCCAGAAAATAAATGAACAATAGAACATGAGGGCAGGATCAATATATTTCAAGAAGCATCCTGTAAAAGTAGGACTTTTTTTCAGTAATTCCCAAAGTTTGAATATACATTTATTTCAGTGAATTAAAATTACTTTGTAAACATCAGATAGATCCTCAAATTAAAAACAAATAAACAAAAAAAGACTTTACAAGATATTGTGAGATTCCTGTGTTTAGAGGGTCCATAGATAACTAGGAAAAGCATCTGAATAGGATTTTGTAGAACACGAGTCAGCAAACTATAACCCCTGTGCCCAATTCAGCCTGTGGCCTGTATTATTGGGACTCAGCACCCCCATCCATTCATTTATATATTGTCTATGGCTGCTTTAGCTGTATGAAGCAAAGTTAAGTAGCTACAGCAGGGAGTTGGTGGTCCAAACCACCTAAAATATTTGCTAGCTTGCCCTTGAAAGAAAAACTTGCTAATCCCTGTGTTGCAGAAACTCAAGTGAGCATAATAAGACCCCGAGAGGTTAAATTTTTTGACTTCATCTTGCTGACTTCTTAAAAGAGAGAAATCTCCATTTGGAAGCAATGAAGAGGAAAATGATTTAATTTCCAAAAATACTTTGTAGAAACACACCCTTATAAATAAGTACTATAAAGGGAATTATGGCTTGATGGAGAATTTATGGAATATCTCATTAAAATAATCATGAGTGGGAGGCATTAATATTCCGAGTTTAACAGTTCATAATAGCTACTGCAAAGTCATTTTAATGATCATCAACAAAATATTATTACCTATTTCCTTTTGAAATACATGGAATAATTTCAGATTTCATCTCTGTAATGTATGCGTGCAAAGCACATTGAGGGAAGAAGGAAGACACTGAAAGAATACAATTTTAAGAAATAAATGATAAATCTCTATGTAATAAAGGATACTCCAACTTTTATAGAACCTTATTCATAGTCTTAAAGTACATTTGAAAGGTTCAGACATGTTTTTTCTGTACCTGAAGTCAAGTAAGTCTTTTAATTGCAAACATTATGTTCATTTCCATATGCTCATAACTTCGAAGATGGTGAATAGCAGACATTTTGCAAGATTTATTGGAGTGGTATTTCCTGTAGGCACTCATTTGTTGAGTTTTTATGTGATGAATGCATTTCTAACTGGGATTATTTACATAGGCATCTGGGTCCTGGTTAGTGATGGAAGAGAGGGACAGGGAGACTCAGGTTTAGTTGATGCTATGTTTGATTTAATGTTTTCCAGAGTGGAGCAAGGTTCCTGTTTTGCCATTTATGCCAGAGATTTGATGTGATCTAGGTAGCTTTTATGGTTCCTTCCAGCTCTTAGTGTCTACAATTGTATATTCCAACAAAATTTATCTTTACAATCCCCTGGATCTATGTTAAAGGGGAAAAGAGGAGAACATAAAGAGGCCACAAAACACTAGCTTAGACTGAAGATTTGTTGATTTTGTCAGTTGGGTTAGGATGAAAGGAAAGTACAAACGAATTTTACGAAATGAGGCTTTTTTGTTTTTTCTCAAATGCTGACTGTGTGCCATCCTGGTGGGGCTTTGGAATAAAATGAGGATTTAAAATAAAAATTTATAAATGGATATATTTACTCAAAACTGTTTTGATGCATTTATAATGTTGGCATTCCTCACTTAGGATAGCTATTAAAATAAGATATTTTTCAAAAATCACTATTAGGCTGAATATCTCTCTTGCCTAAAATAGTTTCTCCATTTAGACTCAATCAACAGCAAAATCAAGAATAATAACAGAAATTTTCCTCTATATGTCTAAGTTTGCAATAGCTAGATAGTTCTCATTTGGGGTTTTTATTGACAAAGAGCTCAGAGGAAAGTAATGGAAATTTCTGAAAGGAAGGATAAGGACTGGTTTGGAAGAGACATGTGAAAAGGAGAAAAAGATCAGGCTTATAGAAGCTGGAAATATCCATTCTGGTGAGTGTGCATTTAGGAGTTACAATTAAGACATGAGATCGTTGAACCCTGGCAGAAAAGTAAGCGTATAGCAAACATGTGCATAAGATCAGAGGAGAGAGGAATCTCCTCTCATTATTGTGCAATTTTTAACCTTGAGTCCATCCGGTTTTCCAATGTCCATGTACAATCTAAACTGAGAGGCAGTAGAAAGTTACAAATACAGAGCCTGCCCTGGATTCTTCCCCATTGCGTGAGATAACTGTGTGTTTTGTTTTGTTTATTTGTTGCTACACAATAAAATACTCCAGCATACAGTGGCTTAAAATAACAGTGATTTATTATTGCTCATGATACTGAAGCTTGGCTGGTTGGGTCTTCTCCACATGGTATTGGCTAAAGTTTCTCATGTGGTTCATTCGGGGGGAATTTGTAGGGCTGGAACATTCAAGAAGGCTTTACTCACAGATCTGGGTACTTGGTTCTAGCTGTAGGCTGGAAAGCCTCAGTTATTTCCCATGTGGTCTCTTGCTGTCTCTACACAGCGTATCCTAATTTTGTATCCCGTATCCAACGTGTTTTACATGAAAGCAAAAGTTGACACTGATGTGATCTCTTGAGGGCTAGTTCCAGATCTGAAACAGTGCTATTTCTACTGCATTCTATTAGTTACATAAGGCCAAGGTCAATAGACTCAGCCTCTTGAGAGGAGTAGCTGTAAATACTTATATCCTTCTGTGTTACCCACAGCTGCCCTTGGAGATAATCTACCCAACCTGATTAGTGGAAGTGTTCGAAAAATACCAAATTAAAATCATGGAAAATAGCCTATGTCCTATTCAGGGAATGAGTGAAAGATGATGTCTAGGTAGAATACCAAATTAGAACCTAGTTCTGTGAAATTTGAACAATGATCATAGAAGACAGTACAAAAGTGTCTGTGCAGCATATACAGTTGGAAAATGCTTAATTGAACTTATTCAAAGAACTTTCTTTACTCTAGGACTTCTCAGTGCTTGTACTATGCTAATATGCATGCATCATTGGTATGAAAATAATGAATGTATTAGGCAGCATTCCCTAGTGGACTTGATCATGAGTTTCTTTTTCAGGGAACACTCTATGCAATACATTTTGGGAAATGCAACAACATAAGAGAGAGCCAGATAAATGATACGTATGAAATGACCTCAGAGACCTCAGGGAGATAAGGAAAGCAAAGAGAAAGCCCACCAAGCATAATGGGATGTGGAGGGAAATGCCAAATACGTGGAGTGAGGATCCCTAACTTTCATTTCTAATCCTATTGGCATGGGAGTAATTTCATCTATCTGAGCTCACATCCATAGAATGGAAATAATAATGTTACCTTTCATGCAGAATGGTTCAAGGGTTTGATTATGATATAAATTATAACTTTGTGTGAAGTAATTTCCAAGTTTTTCATGATCAAAGAACAGTTTTTTCATTATTTTTCTGTTATTCTCATGATTTAAATTAGCTTACCAAACAGTGGTCAAGGAAAAGATTTAAGGGTAAATCTTTGACACGCTGTAAATATTTGTGCCTAAGCAACTTAATTTGATTTTTATTCATAACTATTCAAGCAATTGGTTGGTCTCTCTGGTGCCAGCAGTGTCAAAGGATTCTACTACATGGATTTACAGCACGGTTATTATATCTCCTGTTGGCCATTTCTTTCATCTGTTAGTTTTAAAACGTGCTGTTCTCTTCATCTTCATTCTTCATTCCTGACACTGTGTCTACAAAATAGCACAAAGAGAAAAAAGAGGAAGAGAAGGTAATATACGCCTCAGATGATAGTGATCTTGAGTCATGCTTTAAAAATGGTGTAAAGAAAGTAAAAACTTTTAAGAACTATGAATTAAGGACATTCAGGAAATTGTACCATGTCACAGTGATTTTTGTCTCTCATATTTCCACCAGGAAACACGGATGTTCTCTTTTTGTGAATCACATGTCTACTAATCTTAAAAGTTGTGTTTATCTTATTCTTCTAAGAGTGAGTGCTTTAGGGTTCTGAATCAAGCTGTTTCACAACTTTGAACAGTTTTAATATCATGTGGTATAACAGAACCTGTCATTATGCAATTATCGAATAGTCCTTTTGGTTGCAAAATCTAAAATTTAAGCTGCATTAAAGCTGGATTCAAAGAATGAGATATATCAAACCTGGGCTTAACATGTAACAGATACTGAGTACATTTTGTTGATATGTTCGCTGCTTTAGTGGAGCTCTACAATGCAGTAGAAAAAAATCTGATAGAATAATTTATTTCAGAAAACTTGCATTCTTCTTAAGAAGTCTAATATATTTTATCATTAAAATCTCTGACAAGTCCTAGAATAAGAAATATTTGTCTTTCTTTATTGCATAATTTTCAAATATAGAAATATATTTTTTTAAAATTAATACTTAGCCATATGTAGGAGAGAGAGCAGAGGGCAATGCGGAGGGTTTTGGAAACCAACTTTGAAGTTTCTCTGAATTCTTCAGTCAACTCTATGATTACAAACTGGCAGACTCTCTTCATGAATTTGTTTTACTTAGGTTTAATATTTTCTGAAAATTGCATAGCCCAGAAAAATATCTGGCTTACTTGAATCTAATGATTAAGATATATATCATAATCTTCTGTGAGGTGGTTTCAAAGTTTTCATGATCAAAGTACTGTTATATTATTATTCTATAAACCCCCTTGATATGAGTTTGCTTATCAGACAAACTGCATCTATTAACAGCTCCTTTTTTTTCTTATGATTATTAATCTGGACACATGTTTCAACCAGAGTTCCTTACCAGCACAAGCTAACCACAGTGACTTTATGTAATTTCAACCAAAAAAAAGGAGAAAAAAGCTTGTTATTTTATTTAAACAGGGTAGTATAAATACGAGTAGATTTTTCTAAACATGAAAAATAGCTCACAAACCCCAATTTCTGCTGTTGAAATATCCAAGGACCTAGAACAGTAGTTCTTAATTTTGATTGCACATCATAAACACCTGAGGAGCCTTGATAAAGAAAATGCCAATGTTTCAGCCCCAGCCCCAAGCATTTATGTCTGGATTTATGAGACAGTCCTGGATTCTAGCATTTTTTAAACCCTCCAGATTATGCTAATTTATAACAAAAGTTGAGACACTCAATCCTCAGTATTACTAATTAGATTAAATGATATAAGTGAGATACACATTTTTACAGAGGTAGAATTACCTGTCTGAGACAGAGACTGAAGGCATTGTCTAATAACAAGACCCCTCAGTCAAGGTCATTGCTACTTTTGAAAGGAAGGATCGCTGGTTTTAGTCTATTTCCAATGTTGTTGTATGATCTTTGCCATAAATTAAATCTTCCTAAAGCAGTCATGTGGGATGTAAGTGGACATTAGAATTTAGGAATTGGGTAAGAACCTGGAAAAGAATTCCTCCTAGCTAGATTACTTTAAGCAACTTATTTAACTCCATCTCTCTAACTTTCAGTTTCTTCATCTTCATTCCAATGAAAGCACCTGTGTTACAGCCTTCTCTAAAGATTCAACAATAAAACACACATCAAAACAGCCTGCACAGTTCTCAGTTCTGTTGGCACTCAATAAATAGTAGTGGATTCTAGGTCATTAATTCCAATACAGCTAATTTTGTATTTTTAAGATAAATGCCAAGGATAAGCTTCAAAATTAGCCAAGAACTAAAGTAAATAGAAAACTTGCTTTTAATTAGGACCCTGAAGTTGTGGCAATATAATTTGATAAACATATACCATCTCAGTCTGCACTGCCAAATATTAATAGAGAAATGCCCTGCCGAGTGTTATTAGACAACTGCATTTGAGAAATATATTTCTGTGCTTTTTTCATGTAAACATTTGCATTATTCAGTCTAAAAAACTAATATTTGTTCCTATGCTCTCCCCCATGATCGCAGATTAGTAGGATGACATTAATGATCTTGCTTTTTACATTTACTATGCATTTAAAGAAGGGCCATGGCGGCTGAATGTGTGCATGGTGTAGAAAAGGTAAGAAAACAGCTCTCTCAAACTGTGTTAACACACGTAGAGCTGTAGTCTATCAATTCAGTTGATCTTTGAATTGATTTTTATTTTTCAGTGTATGAAAAATTTCTAATACTCTGGAGTCAAAACTCTCAATTTTTCCTATGTTATTTTATTGCATGAATAGAAAAGTCTAGCCCCTCCATGATGTATTCATTACGTATATTTGCTTTTTAGTTTAAAAAAATATGTTTGGACTGGGCGTGGTGGCTCACACCTGTAATCCTGGCATTTTAGGAGGCGAGGCAGGTGGATTGCTTGAGCTCAGGAGCTTGAGACCAGCCTGGACAACATCGTAAAGCTCCATCACTATGAAAAATGCACACACACACACACACACACACACACACAATTAGCCGGGCTTGGTGGTGTGTGCCTGTAATCCCAGTTACTTGGGGCCTGAGATAGGAGAATCACTTGAGCCCAGGAGATTGAGGCTGCAGTGAGCCAAGCTTGCACCATTCCTCTCCAGCCTGGGTGACAGAGTGAGATCCTTTCTCAAAAAACAAATATAGATAATAAATAAATGCTTGAATTGTGTATTTAGTAATTTAATATAGTTAGAATTAAGTTTGATATATGTTCTTATACAAAGAACAGTACTGAGTTTTAATATTGGCATTTAGAAAAGTTTAGCACATGAAACAATTTTGAATTATTTTCATAATATCATTCCATCTCTATATTTAAAGTAGATGAACAAAAGTAATATATATGTAACAAACCTGCACATTGTGCACATGTACCCTAAAACTTAAAGTATAATAATAATAAAATTTTAAAAAAACTCATCATGGTACACAAGGTGCTTGAAAATTCAACCCTAACTTCTCTGACCTACACCCTACCCGCTACATTGGCTTGACTCCTAGGAAACATGCTCATTCACTACAGAGAATCCAGCCAGCCCTGGATCCTGCCACATGCTTTCAATTCACAACTTGATGCATTTACACCCATTGATGCTGCCTCTTCAACTGGTAAGTTTATAAATATGAGGGAGGGAAAATGAATAATGTCTCTCAGAAATTTCCTGTATGCCCAGCAATATCAGCAATTATTTTTATATCTTTTTATGCCCATAAAATCTTTGGGTGAAACTTATTTTCTCCCCATTTTCATACCTGGGAGATCTAAAGTTGTGAGATGAGAGGAATTTGACTAGTGTCCCACAGCTGGAAGTGGCTAAAATGGGATTTTAAAATCTAGGTACGTCTCAAACCAAGGAGCACTTCCTTACAATCAATACAATGTTGTTTCCAATTTCAAGCTTTCTGCTTACAGCTCAGACTCTAGTCACCTACATTTCAACATATGTCTACATATGTTTCTATTCATCACGTATTTTTCACGTATTATACTAGGGGTACAGTATTTTTGCCCCTCACTTATGATCTTATGAGCTCTTTGAGGAATCATATATAGGATTAATGTTTGTGTCTTAAGCAGTCAGCCCAGGGCGGGACAAGAAGAAGATGTGAAAACGATGTATGTTGGGTTGATGGATAGACGGATGCAATCTTATTTCACTGTATTGTCTATTCTCTTATTTTGCTTTCCATTTTAGTTATATTACACCTTCCAGAATAAAATTACATTATAATATATGTAGCATCCAAAATGGTTTGGACGGGGCTTTTATTTTAATTGAAGACAGAGTATTACAGTTGTATGAGTGATATCACACCTCTGCAAGAGAAAAATTCTATTCTTTTTAAATATATACTGAAGACTTTGCATAGGAATTGTTTCCAACCCATAAAATTATTTACTGCAGCAGTAAATAGAAAACAAAATCAATTTCCCTCCAAAAATTTATGAGTTATCTAGATAGAGCTTTAGCTAACATATCTCAAGGAGATCTTTCAATAGGCCCTCGCTGCTGCTGTATTTCTTTTAAACTACACTCCACATTTCCTAATCAGCTATATCTAGACATTAAAGTGAAATTTATGATAAAAATAGAAAAGCCTGAAGTCCTTGAATTCCATTGATTTGAATAAAGGATACTCTATTCTGTAATTGTTCAATAGTTGATTTTTCCCATTATTAATTTTATTTCAATATTTTTGAGTCAGATAAATAGAAGCACATTTTCCCACACTTTATTCTGTCAAATCTAAGGTAGGGAAAGTTTCCTACATGAATAGTGTTAGAAGCAAATGAACCAAAAAACTCTTCTTGCCAGTATCCTTCATTGTCAAGAACCGGATTTCAGAATATTTTAAATTTCAAAACTAGGAAAATGGAATGAGAATTTATTGTATTGAGACCAAAAGTGTGAAATCAGGAATTTAGTCTAGATTACATCTTTAACACTGCTAGGCTAATTAGATACGTTTGAGCAAACTAGTCTGATCTTACTGTGACTATAAAGAGTACACTGAAAGGAAGCAAACTATAGTATATAGATAGATATAGATAGATAACTCTATATAGGTCTATATATCTCTATCTCTACTGTATATCTTTGTCTCTATTTATATATCTCTATATAGAGCTCTATCTATCTCTATATACATCTATCTGTAGATCTATTTCTCTCTATCTGTAGATAGATCAACATAGATATCTATATACATCTGTAGATAGATGTTATGTATAGATAGATATCTACATTACCATTGAAAGTATAGTTATCTACCTATAGCTATAGAGAGATATAGACAGATAACTATCTATCTATCTATAAATAGCTATCTATAGATAGTTACCTACCTATATCCATAGGTACTATCTATAGTTATCTATCTATCTATATCGATAGATAACTGTCAATCTATCAATCAATCAATCATCTATCTATCTAAACAATTGAAAGTACTCAATGGCATGGGCATTTGGTCCAGTGATTTTCCTTTTTGGTAAAAAATAACAGGAAATAAAACAAACGTAGGACCCATTCTCATCCAGAAGGCCACTGTGTAAAACAGATGAATGCTGAACTGCCCTGGTAAGCAAGGATGGGGATTTGGGACCTGTCTAATTCCCTGTCTCTGAAACCTCACTCTAGAAGCCCCTCAATGCCACATGCCACAGATGAAAACCACCCACCAAGTTCTATCATTGCCTCCAACATTGTGGAAATGGAGACAGAGAAGTAAGGGACTAGCCCCAAATGAGAGGCCTACTCATATAACAGCCATTCCATCCCATCTGCATAGTTTCCAATTTAAAAACCTTGAAAATAAAAAATTAAAGCATTAATATTATTTTCAATTGAAAGAATGTTAAAACATGGGAATCATGCAACTATCAGTAATTTAAGAATCTTAGGAAGAGAAGAGACATCACGTTTGTTCTGACCTCCTTATTCTCAGTCCAGAAAACTTTCCTTAGAATTAAGACTTAACATGGCTCCCTTTTCCATTCACTACCACCAAACTCAGAATAATTTAAAACTTTCTAATTCTTTTCTAAAAAGGGCCAGAGGGGATGAGAAGTTTCATATTTTAAAACCACATAAGTAAGGCAAAGTCTATTCCTGCCATAAAGCCACTGCTGGACTGAGTGTCAATTATACATGTAATATATCTAGTCTCCCTTCTTCAGTAACTTGTTTTATGAATAGGGAAGGCCTGTTCTTCCTCTCATTGGCTCTTCAAGATAATATTTTATTTTCTTAATTCCTGCATTGATGTACAGATGCCTCAGGCTCATATTTGATTCTATTGCTTTTATTTTTGACATTTGACAATAGACAGAGGATGTGGATTTATTTTCACCTCCCTGTTCACTTGAATGCTTGCTGGTGAACCTCATTTTCAAAGTCCATGTGACGTCTCCTGCTACAGAGCTCAACTTTACTGTACAAGAAGTGGTTGTTTGCTGTCCCCAGAACCTGGTTTTCTAATGCTCCAAATGGGCGGAGAAGGTGAAAATTGATAGCTGGATCAACTCATAAAAGGACTTTTTTCTCCTTGGGAAAAAAAAGAAAAAAAAGACTTGGACACAGCTTTTACTTCTAATGTCTTGTTTCTATCTCCAGGAATGAAATTGCCCAACATTTCCTTTTACTTCTGTCTAGTTGCCTTCTTTGAGTTCTATACTGTCTTTGATGTTGAATGGAAATTTTTACAAGGGGTGGGAATTAAACAGCATTTAGAAAGCCACACATACTTACACAGACACACAGATACACATGCACACACAATCAAATGACAAATTGGCATGGAATGCTGCGGGTAAGATGGATAACAGCTTGTCTGACATTTGTCATATTATAAAATATGAACTCATGAAATGAAGACCAAAGAATGATGGGAGCAATCGGGAATCCTCTTACTTACTTTTTGGGAAATGCGCATAATCTATAGTTCTAGTGGTTTTTTTCCATTTTTTTTTTTTCCGTTGGACTTGAGGTTAGTCAAAATTCCTCTCAAATTCTGCTTGCAAAATAGTCACGTCTAGCTTTCAAAGATATGATTTCCTACCTCTGTTGCTATCTTCACAGGTATTTTGGCAGAAAGGTAGAAGAGATGTCATCCAGGGCTGCTTTCCAAATGCCATTTTAAACCATCTTTACAACTCTCTTTTAATAAAGGATGAGTAGAAGAGGGATGTTCTGTGCTCAGCTCCAGAGAATTTTATTTCCCTCTATGTAAACTACCCCATGTCAGAATTAGAGTTTATATAAAATTAATGTGTTATATACACCAGGCCTAAATGACTAAATTTTGAATATATAGACAGTTTTAATGATTAAATATTAGCATGTGGAAATTGAAGGGCCTCTCAGGAATGACAGAGCTCCCAACCCTCCTTTATGTTTTGTCTAAAGCAGAATTTAAAGGTTTTTAATAGACTTTAGAAGGGCTAGAAATCTCCATATATACAGCCTAGTCTGCCCTGAGTTATTGGTGGATTTCCTGTGGAATTTTTATGCGACACTTGATTTTCCCTGCGGGGCTTGTTAACTCCTGATTGGGTAATATAAATTTCCAGCCAAGATTAAGTACAAACAAAGCCAAAATTCATTTATTTTAATAAGGAAAATTGAGGTTCTGAGGTCTGGTGTTTTCTTTTGCAAATAAACTAGTCTGTCAGGCAACTTGTTTTAAAATATTTGGTAGGAATTAAGAAAAAATAAATTTAGTGCTCCAATTTCTGGGTTGTCCTTTAAAGTTTTGAAATGAGAAATGATTTTATATACAAGTATTCTGTTTTAGCCCCATCCTTTCTCCTCTTTTGGCTCATAAAACAAACTGCTGGGAGAAATATCTACTTTTCCTTAGACCTCAATCCTTTCCACCTCAAATGCCTTGCAATACTCATCCTCAACATAGAGATGGCATTTCTGCTGGCATTTAGCAGATGAACATGAATTTTCTAGCTGGAGAAAAGCTAATGATATACTTGTACTGGCAATTGTATAAGCCTCATATAATTTTTCTATAATTTATTTTTCATACACAAAAAATGTCTGTTTTAATTCAATGAGAGACCTTTGCAGTGTAATGATGATATGGGATTGAGAAGAGATTATTGTCCAGAGAGAAGATATATTTAGTTATAATGCAGTGAGAGACCTTTGCAAGTGTAATGATGATATGGGATTGAGAAGGGAGTATCGCCCGGAGGGAAGAGACATTTAGCAAACAGACTTGATGGTGTGGGAATGCTGATTGGGAATGCAGTAGAAGAAGAAGGAGGAAATCAAAATTCCAGATTTCCTGGCTTGAGTAAGTTGGTGACAGATTTACAGATGGGAAAAACATGAAATGGAGTAGATTGCTGGTTGAAAGATAAGAAAGCTAATAAACTAGCATTTGGATATGTTGAGTTTAAGACACCTTTGGGACATCCAGGAGGTAATGCTGACATTTTGAAATACAGATCTGATGCATGGTAGACAGTCTGAAGATATAGTTATACATCCTAGAAGAGTTTGCAGAAAAGTTTATTAGACATTCTGGATATTGAGACTATAATGTACACTATAGCTTGACTTCTACTATAATCCTGGCATATAAATGCCTATATCAGTCAATATATATTTTTGAATACATGAATAAATAAAAAAGTGAATCAGTGAATGAATTAAAATAATATTAGAAGGGAGAACTTACATCGAGATGAATGAAGAAAATTACTAAATATTTTCAAATGAAATATTTCAGTCCTCTATCATTACTTATTTGCTTCCAATTTTCTATGCTTTTTTATTCAGCAAGTTCAGTTTTCAAAAACAGTTTTCACTCTTTATCTTTTTTGGTAATCTTTATCAATCATACCTTGCCACAACTCTGCTTAAAAAGCCAGTCCAAAACTCAGTGTAATGAAAAAATCAATTATTTATTCTTGCTCACATGTCTTCACATTGGTTGGGGTTCAGTTGGCTTAGATTTAATTCAGCTGGGCTTGGCTTTAGGATGTGGGTTAGATCCAATATTTCTCATATATCCTTCATCATTCTCAGAACAGCAGCTAAGCTTCTCAAAGCAGAAGCATAAGATGAAAACCCCTACTTTCCAATCACATTTCAAACCTCTTGCATCCTGTCTATATTTTTCTTAAAAAGTCACATGACTGGTCCAAAATTAAGGGGCAGAGAAGTCCATTCTTCATATAGAATCACGGGAAATGGGTAAATATTTTTGAACAATAATTCTATTTACCACATTTGCCAAAATCAGTACCTTGTGTTTGGGTCTTCCCAAAGTGTGAAGTCAATAAATTCCCTACAGGATATCTTTCTTTCAATGCACCATGTCAGTTCTAAGGGGCATCATCTTTGGTATTTCCGCCAAATGGAATCTCTCCACCTTAAACTTTCTGTACTTACATGAGTTCTAGGCCAGAAAGCAGAAACCTTTCAAAGTAATCAGTCACTGAATGTTTCCACATTTATCTACAATATTTCTCTTCAGCTTCTTTTTATTTGCTGCATTCTTTCTGAGCCCAGTGTACTGAATCCATTATTCTATCTTTCTTATACAGCCACTCAAATTACGTCCAAGTTCAAGTCACGCCCTACTCAAATAAGCCTGCATACTCAAATAATTTCTGCCTGCCTACAAAAAAAGTACATTCTTCATGACAAACTCCTATTCAAACATTGGGTTATTATTTTATTAATGCAGGAAGTATCTGTTGAGCAAGTGCTGACTGTCAGATGCACTGCTATGGGCAGGAACAAAATAGTGAACAAGAAGGCAAAGTCTCTTGTTCCTCATGCAGCTTTATTCTAGTGAAGTCAGAGAAAAAAGAAATATGAGAACATCTAAGACATATGTAAGAAAAAAGCTCAATAATGCTAAGTACAATGCAATCAACTAAAGGGGATTGTTTGACAGACAACAACTGGCCACCCTCTTTAGGTTGGGCACAGAGAATGCCTCTCTGAGGACATGACATTTGCATTAATGCTTGAATGGCAAGAAAGTGACAGACATGTAAAGATCAGTGGGGATAACATTCTAGGGAGCGAGAACAGCTGGTACCCAGGCCCCAGAGTAGCAGGAATGACTTCAGCAAGCCTGAGAAACAGGAAAAGGGCCAGTAAGTCTGAAGCATGGAGAGGGAAAATATATGGATTAATAAATGATATTGGAGAAAGACAGGAGCCTGAGGTTGAGAAATAAGATTTAGATTTCTGACACAGTTTGGCTGTGTCCCTACCCAAATCTCATATTGAATTGTAGCTCCCATAATTTCCATGTGCCCTGGGAGGGACCTGGCAGAAGGTAATTGAATCATGGGGGGAGGGTCTTTCCCCTGCTGTTCTTGTGATAATGAATAAGTCTTAATAGATCTGATGATTTTTTTTATAAAGGAGAGTTCCCCTACACAGCTTTTCTTTGCCTGCTACTATGTAAGACATGCCTTTGCTCCTCCTTCATCTTCCATCATGATTGTCAGGCCTCCCCAACCATGTGAAACTGTGAGTCAATTAAACCTCTTTCCTCTGTAAATTTCCTACTCTTATTAGCAGCGTGAGAACAGACTAATAGAATTTCACTCTAAGAATGATGAGAAGACACCAAAAGCTCTTAAAGATGGTGCCTTATGTTTTTTTCAAAGGGCATGTTAGCTATGTTTTGGACAATTGATTGATCAGAAGTAGTCAAGATTGGAAGAAGAAACCCAATTATGTGTCCAAGGTAGTAGTATAAGCCAAAAAAAAATGGTGGTGATTTGGAGTAATCTGATAGTTCTAGAGATGGAGAAAAATGAAACAGTGAAAAAATTCTAGATGGAATGTGAAGGTAGAGTTGACAGGCCTGTGGATGGATTGGATGCTGAGTGTAATGAAAAGAGAAATCAATGATGGGTCTTAGGTCTTCGCTTGGAAAAATTAGCTAAATGAGTATGGCACTTGCTAATATGGGAAAAAACTTGGGATGATAAAGTTTTGTTTTCTATTTTGTGTTGTTTTGTTTTGTGAATAAAATGAAATCAAGAGTTTTATGTGGCAAAATAAGTTTGAATTGTTTATTAAACATCTAATGGAGATGTCAAGTAGACAGTTGAATTTAAAGGTCTGACATTCTGTCAAAAGACCAGGGTTATAAGTTATAATTATAACAGTTATATCAATATTGCATTATGGTATCATTTTAATGTATGAACACATTTTGGATCAGGTAACCTGCTTAATTACAGATATGTAACAAAGGCTTAGTAACCTGTTTTATAATAGGTATGTGATTGATATGGTTTGGCTGTGTGTCCCCACCCAAATCTTGTCTTGTAGCTTCCATAATTCCCATGTGTTGTGGGAGGGACCCAGTGGGAGATAACTGAACATGGGGGCAGGACTTTCCTGTGTTATTCTTGTGATAGTGAATAAGTCTCACAGAATCTGATGATTTTAAAATTGGGAGTTTCCCTGCACACGCTCTCTTTTTGTCTGCTGCCATCTATGTAAGATGTAACTTGCTCCTCCTTGCCTTCCACCATGATTGTGAGGCCTCCCCAGCCATGTGGAAATGTAAGTCCATTAAACCTCCTTTTCTTCCCAGTCTCAAGTATGTCTTTATCAGCAAGGTGAAAATGGATTATTGCAGTGATTAAGCTAGAACTGGAACACAGACAATAAATTTCCACCTAGTACAAGGCTCTTAACTGGCTTTCTCTTGTGCTTGACACAGAATAGGTAGGTAATATATACATAGAAACAACAACATCAACAAAACAAAACAACTAGATGAAGTGAGAGGCAACTGTCTTCCAAAGTTTCACAGGTCTCCTTGAGTCTGGCCACATTCGACTTAATAAGACAGATTCCCTACACAAATTGGCCACTCTGGGCAACCCAGTCTCCCTGTAACCAAGGTGGGTTTTTTCATATCCAACTAATTGCTCCTACCTTTTCCTTGATTTACAATGCCATTTCTATTCTCTATGTCTTCCAATTTAAACTAATTATTCAAGGTCTTAAGTATACTAGTTCACAAAACCTTGGTTTATTTCCACTAGTTTACATTAACATCTCATATGCTTTTATTTCTTTAAAAGAAAAATTGATGCTCTTATATTGTATTGTATTTATTTAATTGTCCTTGAGTTGTCAAGTGTTTTTTCTTCTCAACCAGACCATGCTGTCTTTTTGGGGTTTCATATTCTTTTTCTGAAAACATTAATGAAAAAAAATATGGGCTCTGGAATTAGAAGATCCAAGCTTAGATTCCCTCTTCTTGCTTTATCAACTTTGGGCTGATAGGTTATTATTTAGTCACTCTAAACCCTCAGTTTCCTTTTTGGTAAAATAGTCCACATTGGTTCCACCTCATAAGGATGTTTTAGGGATGATATGAGTGCAATATGCAAAACTTCTCTTATACCTCTGCACCTTGAAAATTCTCAATAAATATTGGATTTCTTTATTTTCTTTCGCTTAACACCTTAGTATCTACACAACTATTGGGATCACGATAGGAGCCACCACATGCTCTGTGGATAAAAAGCAGAAAAGAAAGTAATTAGTTATGAATTTCTATACCAACGATTTCTGTTTGTTTTTCCATTTGCAATACCCTACTGTGATTCACTTGATTTTCTGAAATGTCCTTCTTAATCAAAGTGCTTCGTGGACTGCAATTTTGCAAATTAAAGTGGATTAAAATTAGTTTTGTCAGAAAATTTCATGACATCCTCAAGCCCCACCTGGAAATAATTGGAGACACCCTGGGGTATCACAGACCTGGTCTTAGGAATCACCACTCTCTATGTTGCCTCACTTGTGTGTTTATGAGAACTAAATTGACAGCAGCAGTTCATTAGAAGAGTGTGATTGAATGTGCATGGTTTGCTGATAAACTTGCAAGCACTTAGAGAACCATGAAAAATGCTTTCTGTCTTACCAAAAAGTTGAACATACAAGGTCAAAGTGTAGATGTGTGCATACATTTGTGTTTAATAAAAATGAATTAGAAATAAGATAATCCAGATATCCAGTTCTAATGACAAATTTGTCAATGTTAGGAAAGGTATTTAGAGATTGCTTTGATATGTTTTACATCTTTTACTAATATGCTACCTAAGATGTATGCAATTCAAAAGAAGGAAGCAATGAGAAAAGGAGGGTAGAGGGAAGGAGCAATATAAACTCTCAGCACCATATCTATTTAGTATTCACTAAGCATCCATGAATAAAGAAGAAAATCCCTCCTCAGTATTTAACTACTGGGGGTGGGGCATAGAAAGTGGCAATTGGGCCAGAGTTTAACAGGTGCTAATCATGGATTTCTGAGGAAGAGCTATCTCTCTGAAACCCACGGTATGTACAAAGGGTGAATTTCCATAACCTTTCTTAATAATATACACCTGGCTGGGCATGATAACTCACGCCTGTAATCCCAGTACTTTGGGAGGCCTTGGTGGGTGGATCGCTTGAGCTCATGAGTGCGAGACCAGCCTTGGCAACATGGCAAAACCTTGTCTCTACAAAAAATACAAAAATTAGCTGCGTGTGGTGGCATGAACCCATAGTCCCAACTACTTGGGAGGCTAGGGTGGGAGGATGGCTTGAGCCTGGGAGGTGGAGGTTGCAGTGAGGTGAGATCATGCAACAGAGTGCCAGACCTTGTCTCAAAAAGAGACATATATATATATATATATATATGTTTGTGTGTGTGTGTGTGTGTATATGATGTTTAGATAGATATATAGATACATAGATAGATAGAGATATACACTTTAGGCTGAGTGTGGTGACTCATGCCTGTAATCCCAGCACTTTGGGTGGCTGAAGGGGGAAAAGATGGTTTGAACCTAGGAGTTCAAGGATCCAGAGAGCCACGACCCTGTCACTGCACTCCAGCATGCTTGACAGAGTAAGACATTGTCTCTAAAAATTTTTTTAAAAGAAATAAAGGAATTTACAGTTTTACACTGTTTCCCAAATTTCCTTTCAGTACCATTGTCTTTTCTAGGACTTGCATTTTGAAATATATCATCTTGTTTCTCAGCACACCAAGTCAGGGAAGGCACACAGTAGAATTATCCCAAATTCTTTGAACATTTAAAAGTCATTCTATGGCTATGGCTGTGCTCATTAGCAAATGATCTGCACAGTAATTCCTCAGCCCAGAGGGCTCACAACAAGAAGGGACCTCATTAGGAAGTCCACTGACATCCCCTTCCTTTCTTCTTTTCATATGTTCACTTCTTCCTGAGAAAGGCATGTGCCCCTCCACATCTGCCTCCTTTGGCCAACGGCCTGAACCCATGGAAGTCAGCCACACAGGAAAGTGGATTCAGCAGCCTCATTTGAAGCCCCCAGGGACCCTTTCAGTACTAATTACAGCAAATGTCTCAGGCAGGCATCATATCCTGCAGTCAGTGATAGTGGGTCAAGGGCCAGAGCTGCAGGGACCTTCCCACTTGCGTTTTCTGAAGTATTTTTGATCTTAATGTTTTCTCTCTCATCTTCCCCATGAGGACCTTCATGCAAGTTGGAACATGAGGATAAAGTTTAGTTTGAAAAATTCAGTCATTGTAACAGATGCACATAATGAAATGGCTTATGTAATAATATTACTAATAGCTAATATTTACGGACTGCTAAATCACCTTGTCTGTATTCTCTCATTTGACCCTCAAGGCAATTCACAGGTATTACTCGATCTGTTGTTTCAGTTAAAAAAATTGTGACTCATGATTAGAAGTAACTTGTTCAAATCCAGTAAGTGCTAAAGTCAGGTCTTAAATCCTAATATCTGATATGTCATACCCTGTGCCCCTTCTACCAACCTAGGCTACCAATAGTTAAGTGAATGAATGAATGAACAAATGAATGAAATGAGTATTTATAAGCAGAAAATTGGCTTTTAAAAGATCCCTGTTATCTAGGGGAAGATCCTATATCCTGAGAGCCTTCCCAGAATTCAGAATGTAGGATTTTTTTGACTGTTTTCTCCTTGGTCATCCTTGCTCTAGATCAGCTTTTCTTCTGCCCTGAGGATAAATATTATTGATTACCTTGACATCAGCAACGAGTTCTGAATTGGTTCCTATCTGAGTTGCATCCTTTGATAGTGATTTGTTTTTTTCCTCTGTGTTCATTGGCTTTGGTAGGTTTTCCTTTAAGTAAGCAAATTGTAATTATGCTTGGAGGCATTGCTTGATTTCCATTCCCCAGTGCCTCAACCTCTCTTCCAAATAAACCTAATCACAGAAAATGTTAAAGCTAAAATAATTCTGGAGGTAATTTGTTTTAAGATTATAACAAAAGAGTTGGGTTCTAAGGTTCTGGGTGTTTGCTATTTTGTTGTTGTTGTTTTGTTTTGTTTTGTTTTGTTTTCAAGGTCAGAAAGCTTCAAAGAGCTGACTGTGGACAAAAGGTATGAGTGAGACTAGAACAGAATAGACGGAATAAAAAATGAGGTGCAAGTCCATTCATTAAGTTATCAGTTAAGTAAATGCAGTAATAGTTAAGGACTAGTTGAGTGACATTGGATAAACCTCTGTGAGTCTGTTTTCCATCTGTTTGACAAGTATTTGAATACCTAACTCATGCTTTCTGGAGGTGAGGTTTAATGGGAATACATTGTAGAAAAATGCACAGAGAGATGCTAGTCACATGGGATATGTGCAGTAAGTGTTTCCGTTTATCTAAATACCCATCTATCTACCTGTTTGTTTGCATTATCTGAACCCAGCTACTCTCTCTGAGACTCAATTTCCTCATCGGTAATATGAAGTTAGTATTACCTGCCTTGTAGTTTTCACTGTGTTGTACTACTATTCGGATTCTAAAGGCAGGACATCAACTGAATAACTTTTGAAATCAGACAGAACTGGCTTTATCATCAGTACTTTTCTCAGTAATCATGTATGAAAACTTTAACAACCATTTTAAATTCCATGAGATTCTCATTTTCTTTCTATGACACTAGTATTACCAGTCTCGCAGGATTTTTATAAACATTTGAGCCAATGTGGCCAAGAGTCAGACATGTGCTACTGTCTTTTACCCTACCATCAATAGTGAAAATCATTATTATTCTAAAATGGGAGCCTAGAAAGTTAAGACAAATTAAATTGTAAGTGATCAGTAGTAAGTAATTAGTAAGCTGGGACCTATAGTCACATAGGAATCCTAAATGCCTATTTCTTTAACAAGGCTGGAGAATGTTGTGATGGACATGAATAAAAACAAGACTGCATCTCAAACATAGAGAGATAGTTGCATTCAAGAGAGGTCTACCACTCTCCTAATGCCAGCCTTGTCTTGGTCTCCTCACAAGTACAAACGCCAAGGCAAGGCTTCTTTCCTATTGTGCTAAAGATGAGTTTACAAGTGGGTTTGAGATATTGATCCACCAAAGACTCAAGTTGACGCTGTAGGGCCCTGGCACTCTGGTGATCACCTATGGCTGTGGCCAACTCTGTCGTTTCACCCAGTGTTTTTAGGAACATGTTCAACAAATAGGCTGTACTATATTGATAGATTTTTAATCCACCTGTCTAGAAGACACCATTAGAACCAATTTCATGATGTCTCTTATCTCTGCCTGCCTTAGTCGCAAGGCCTCCAGTTGTCCACAGAGCCATTAATCTAACTCAAGTTCCCCTCTCTTCCTGATCCCATAACCCAGTGATTCTCAAAGAGCCATCTTCAGATTAGCAACATCAGCATTGCCTGGAAACTAGTTAAAATGCACATTCTAAGGCCTTACCCAGTCTCATGAAATCCAAAGCTCTAGGCTGGGGCTGAGCTACCTGTGTTTTGCATGTCCTTCATGTCAACATGGTGCACCCTGACATATGACAACCAATGCACAACTCTTCACTGAGCCATTGGGAACTCACAGTCTGTCAGCAGCAAATCTCCACCGCCTTACTTGTCTCCAAATGTTTTCTTCACTTTCTTGCTCTAATTTTATTCTGAATGGACTCTGATGAGGATACTACTTTATTGCAGCTTTCTCAAGTAATTAAAGTATATATTTTCAAGAACTTATTAAGTATATTTCCATTATAAAATATAGGTCAAGAAAAGCACACAAGTTAAATGCATAGTGAATTGTTATAAGATGAATACTACCCAGGTTCACAGAGAGAACTTTGTAATCACTCCAGAAACTCTTTTCATATGCTCTGTCCAATTACAAACCCTCTTTCTTGCCATAAGTAACCATTATCTTGACTTTTATAGCAATCACTTTCTTGTGGTTTCTACTTTTATGATCCACATATGCATCCCCAGGCACTGTAATTTTTTATTGCCAATTTTTTCTTAATTTGACATATCTTTTAAGTCTGCCTTTTATGTACAGGTTTCTTCTGCATCTCTTTTCTTTCCCTATATTTTATGTGATTAAAAACCCAAGTCATTTGACATATAATCCGATCTGAATTGTGCTGATCACATACTCATGATACAGCTCAATGTGTTCTTCTGTCCATTGCAGTTAGTTTAGTATCATCATGAAAACTCTTATAGTTTTATCTTTGGGCACTGGGAGCCTCTTCAAATTGGGCTTTAAATCTTTTTGGCCATGATTTTAATGGCCTTCCTTGATATGTTGTCATACCAGAGTGTGAGCTGATGTTCCCAGTACATCCTGTACATTTTCTGCACCAGAAATGAGATAAAGTATTTCTTCCAGCTCTAGTTTTTATTTCTGAGAAATAACTTTCCAAGAACACAATCTGGTGTGAAGACTACTCATTGTTGCTGTGAAAAAGGGTAAAAAGTGACGACTTACAGAGAAAGAAAATAGATCATCATCAGACTTCGTGAAGACAACACTTTATGCAAGGATAAAAGAGAGTAACACATACACTCAAAGGAAGAATGTAAGCTTCAATAATTTTATATCCAGCAAAACTGACATTCAGGTATAAAAAAATACAGACAAGCTGTTATCAACAAGAAAGCACTAAGGGAATATTGTACTCATCTGATCTATTTTTGAGGAATCTACTAGGTAATAAGCTTCAGATAACCCAACAACCAGAAATACATCAGCGTAAGGAGTGGTGTCTTTTCAATTATTTTGGTTGTCTGAAGCTCATTATCTGTAGATTCCTCAGAAAAAATCAGATGAGTACAATATTTTCTCAGTGTTTTCTTGTTGATAGCATTGTGTGTATACACATACACACACACATCATACATACACATCATATACACACATACATATGTCACTTTCTATATGTGGGTATCTTCTCTCTCTATATATAAAATCTACTATAGATAATATGTAATGTATAGATAACATATACATATTAGCCCGGCTAATTTTTTGTATTTTTACTAGAGATGGGGTTTCGTCATGTTTGCCAGGATGGTCTCCATCTCTTGACCTCGTGATCCGCCCGCCTCGGCCTCCCAAAGTGCTGGGATTACAGGCGTGAGCCACCGCGCCCGGCCTCAAACTGTTTTTTTGTTTTTTGTTTTTTTCTCACCCCATGATTACCATAGGGTCTTTAAGTGGGATGGACCTCTTTCTTGATTTTTGTTACTGATTCAAACCATTTATTTTCCCTCCTCCTCCAAAACCTGAGTTCCTTTGAAGCACATAAGATCAGATCCTTCTACTCACTATTCCTTTATTTATTAAATACTTATCTGAAGTCACTTCTTATCATTCATTAAATATTTTTACCATTAGATCTCTATACACTACTCACTTTTGCTGTTTTATTATTCTTAGAAAGTTCAATATTCACATAAATTATTCATTCAATACTCCAATCTTATGACTCTCTGAATATATTCTTATATCAGCCTCTTATTTCCCACCTCAGCAACACATTCCCATGATCATATTTGAGACATCATTAATAACCACATCATTTGCAAAATCTTAATTTCAAGTGCAGCACTCCTCTCAACATTTTGTCTTTCCATATCACTTATGCTGTTACCCCCAATCCAGAAATTCCTTCACCTTACTGAGACCTCCAATCCATTGACAACAATATGTTTCACTGTACATATCCTTCATGTGTTTATTATTATCCTTAATATAGAGAACATAGACCACCATTAGTTCAATCTCTCAAATATATCGTCTGTTTCCATTCCTCCCATCATTAAACAAGTGTGGCTAAATCCTAATCATGGTTAAATTTCAACCTCTACCTACTGTGTGACAGAGTGTAACCACTGAATGTAACTGGAAAAAAATAGAAAAACAGAACTGTGCTCACTGAGGCAATGTGAAATTTGTAAGGAACATTCAGGACTGCCAGATACTTGTACTATACCTCTCTATTTATCTCTATTTATCTACTCTCTATTGGGGATGTCAAACTCCCCAAGCCCACTTTCTCTCCTCTCTTTCATTTGATGAAGTTAATCACTGTTTCGTTGAGGACAAACAAAAACCACTATAATATGTATATGAAAACAACCTTGTCTTCCTTCTATCAAATTTAGCTATTTGCATTTATAGCCATATTCACTGCATTCCTCCTGTTACCATGGATCAAATCTTTTTGCCTCTATCCAAGTTTAACTCCAAATTTAATCACTGGATTCCATCCTCGTGGACTGTTCAAGGACTTTGTTCTTATAGTTACTTCTTTCTACTGCATGGTCATGTCTTTCCTCTCTATACTTGTTAGCACACAAATTTCCTTTGCATCTTAAAGGAAGATAGAGGAAAAAATATTAATTCAATGAATCCCTTGAGCATCTGTCTTTTTTCTCTGTGTCCTTTTATGGCAAATTAAAACATCTGAACATGCACCTCCTCAATCATTGTCTCTATTTTCTCACCTCAGTGACTATCTTATCTATTGCAAGCAGGCTTGGGTCCTATTGTCCCCTCAAAATAGCCTTTTCTGCAATCAACGGTGATCTCCATTTTGCAAAAATCAAATGGCCAATTCTCAATCCCCATATTTCTTGGTCTTTCAGTTGGATTGGGTAGAGCCCATCTCTTCTTTTTAGGGTGAGGCTGGAGGGAGTTACAGGACAGTGCATTTCTCTTATTTCTTACTCACTGACCACTGATCTCAATAATTTTTTTCTGAGTTTCTTTTTACTTCTTCCTCTAAACATTGTGGGTCTCAAGGCTTTGACCCAAGTCCTTTTCTTTTCTCCGTTGTTATGATAACAGAACCTGAACTTTCAGACTCTGTGTTTACACAGGAATCTCCCCCTTTGGCCTAGATAGCACTTTTCCTTCTTGCTTTCCTGGTTAACTCTAATTCATCAATGGGAAGAAGTCTAAGTCCTCTGTAAACATTCCTGATTCCCACAGGAAGATGAAAAACTCCCCTTCATTTCTCCCAGTGGAGAAACATAGTCCCTGAAACACAGTAGGCATTGGATAAAGGTTGTATATTAAGAAATGGCTTTAGATGGTCTTCAAATTTAAGTCCAATTTCAGGTGATTAGCAATGTTGGCCCAGGTGAGGAGGTTTCTACAATAGCATTTAGGTTCACTGCTAAAAATTACCATGACAAAAATAGCAGATTCTGTTATGGACATGATGGTACACATACCACATCTGGTCCATCATTTTTAGAGGGAATTCCATTTTCAAAGGCCTGAGGTGAAAGAAGAAGGTACTTTTAGGAGAATAGGGTTTGAAATTTTGAAGGTCAAACCATGTGAAAGAAGTGTTAGGCTGAACAAATGCACATATGTTCAGTAAAAAGAGTTTCAAAGTCATGCCAAAGAAAACTGTGGAGTTCATGTTTGTTTGTTTGTTTTTGTCATAGGAAACATGGAACCATTGACAGTTGAGTTGTTTGTGGTATTCTGGGTTGTATTAGTTGTATTAGCCTAACAAAAGTTAGGCTAGGGCTGGTGTAACATAGCAGACATTTACTGTATCTCTTTTCTGGAGGCTAGAAATCTGAAAGCAACGTGTTGGTGCAGCCATTCTTCTTCTGAAAGTGCTAGAAAACAATCTGTTCCAGAATTGTCTCCTAGTTTCTGGTAGTTCCTTAACTGTGGGAGCATAAATCCAGTTTTCACGTGACATTTTTCTGGTGTGTGTTTCTCTGTGTCCTAATTTCCTCTTTTTACAAGGACACCAATCACATTGGGTTAGGGGCCCACCCTCTTCCAATATGACCTCAACTTGACTAATTATGTCCACAATGATCCTATCTCCAAGTAACGTCATATTCTCAGTTACTTGGTTAGAACGTCAACATAATCTTTGGAAACACAATTAGACCCGCAATGTGAATGTTCATCAAAAACATTTCCAACATCATATGTAAATTCAAATACCACCTCGCCAAAGAGGACTCCATTTTCCCCTATCATTAGGAAATGCATTTGTTATAGAATAGATTGGAAAAACCCAACAAGGGAACTTTTGTAGATTTCTTCTTTCTGCAAGTGGCCTGGTTAAAAGGTGGAGCAGGAATTGCAATATAATGTTCAGTCAGCACTCACTGATCTTGCAGAGGATCTACATAGCAAAAGAGAAAGAGCCAGGGCTAAATACAGAGATCGAAGCCATACCTCTTTATTTCCGTGGGTGATACTCAAAAAGGCCTCCTTTTCATGTCTGGTAGCATCACCAAAGTTAGGCCAAAAGAAGTCAAAGTAATTTAGATTCAATCTTCTCTCAGAAATGAAATGAACAGAAGTTTTATTAAAAGGAAATGAAGAGGAAATTGAACTTTCATATTTCATTGTGCAATTGTGATGACAAAAAACAATATTCGTGAACAGAAGTTTGAAAGATTGTTATTTATATGTCTTTCCTCCCCCCTTGAATTCACCTACACTCTACTTGCTCTTGTCAAAATAGGGGGCAAAGCATTTTTTTTTCTCCTTATGAGCTGATTCATGTTAATAGCGCGGCTAGTCTAAGCAAATGTGCTCTGTATATATTTTTAAATTTTATTTTACATTTTGCTTATAGAATAAATTTACTTAAAGAAAGTAATAGTGAAAAGATAAAATTAAAAAGTCCTATGTTTTAATAACATTATTAGCTACAGTGTAGATAAAATATTTTTGGCTTTTAAAATCTTTTCTTGAGAAGAGTGTATTAGAATGTGGCTGCAGTAAATAAAATCATAAAGGATTTGACATTGCTTTAGCAAATTTTCCTTTTGAGAAATCAGAACATTTATTTTTAGGATTTTGTTTCTAATTGTACCCATCTATATACAGACAGTGTCACTGAATTAGGGCTTATTATGGGTAAATTATTTAAAGGAAAGGGGGTTTGCTTGCCTTATTCGAGCCACTCTGGGCACTAAAATGTTGACTTTGATTGTCAAGTGGGGCCCTCAAGGTGAAGAATCTATAACACAATCTTGAGAGGTCCTTAATATGGGACTTCATGAATATGGAATGGGGCTGTTGAGAATACCTGAAGGCACAATTAGAAATGGGTACTGGAAGCTGCTTTGTCTCTATACCTAAAACTCAGCTTCCTTCTCCATGGCATTTAGTGTGTGCAGTGTTCTGTCTCCTGTTCTTTCACACTGTGGAGATGGAGATCATTGTTAACCAATGGAGATTGTAGGATGTATCATCAGGCTATGATAATAACTCTGGCCACGATGTCCTAGCAAATAGTTATTTCTCACTCAGCCTACCTGTCCCACATAGGTGAGTAGGGAGCTCTGCTCCATGTAATCCTTGAAATATCCAGGCTGACAGAGTCTCCACAATCTTGTACCCGCACCTTAAGACACACAGCAAAGTAGAATAGATCCTAAAGATTTGCATATGGTGTTTTGCAGTCGCAGCTCCCAAATGACACAGATTCGTTCTGATCACATTGATAAGCTAGAATCAGTCCCATGCAACTGATTAACTCCAAGAAGCTTGGAAATCTTGGGAATGTTTAGTGAATAGTAATGTGGGTCCAGTTCTTCTTATGACACACCACAGCCCATCTTACATTTCCATCCACATGTATTACCCCAGCAGTTTTTTTTTTCGTTTTTTTTTTTTGTTTTTTTTTTGAGATGGAGTCTTGCTCTGTCACTCAGGCTGGAGTACAGTGGCATGATCTTGGCTCACTGCAACCTCCGCCTCTAGGATTCAAGTGATTCTCCAGTCTCAGCCTCCCAAGTAGCTGGGATTACAGGCGTGTGCCACCATGCCTGGCTAATTTTTGTATTTTTAGTAGGCACGGGGTTTCACCATGTCAGCCAGCCTGGTCTCGAACTCCTGACCTCAGGTGATTCATCTGCCTCAGCTTCCCAAAGTGCTGGGATTACAGGCGTGAGCCACCATGCCCGGCCTACCCCAGCTTTTTGAGGTATAGTGTGGCTAGTGGCTAATTTTCTTTTGACTGGTTGGGAATGCTTCAGGAAGGGGGGGGTCCATAAACCTGGATCACCATGTGAAGTAAGGTCAGAGGTTGGGGACAGAAAAATGGAGAAGAGCCTGTAGTTTGTAACAGTTATGCTTTGGAAAGATTTTTCAGGAGTCAGATAATTTCCTTGATTTTTTCAACCATGAGTTTATTACATCATCAACTCTGTTCTTCTTATGGCCACTTTCAAATCCATAGGCCGTATAATAAGAAAATTAGGGCCAGGCACGGTGGCTCAAGCCTGTAATCCCAGCACTTTGGGTGGCCGAGGCAGGTGGATCATGAGGTCAAGAGTTAAAGGCCAGCCTGGCCAAGATGGTGAAACCCCGTCTCTACTAAAAATGCAAAAGTTAGCCGGGCACAATGGCAGGCGCCTGTAATCCCAGCTACTCTGGAGGCCGAGGCAGAGAATTGCTTGAACCCGGGAGGCGGAGGTTGCAGTGAGCTGAGATGGTGCCACTGCACTCCAGCCTGGGCGACAGAGCGAGACACTGTCTCAAAAAAAAAAAAAAAAAGAAAAGAAAAGAAAATTAGGCCACCAAGATGGGAGAATAGATCTTCTAAGGGATGCATCAAAGAACTAACAAGTATTTGAGATAATCTGACACGTGACATTCGTGGCCTTCTAACTAATTAAAGAGGTTATTTCTGATTAGGAAGCTGCCTTAGGAGTGGCTCTCAAAGTTCAAGGAGGAGCTAGGAAAGAAGAAGGGATTTGCATTAAAGCAGAGGAGACTGACGTCCTAAGTAGAGGAGCTTCTGCCCTTGGATATAATAAATACTGAAACTAGTTAGCAGTGGAAAGGAGTGGAGCTGGGCTATATCGTTTCTTAGAAAGCAGAGGTCCTGAAATTTAAAGCTGGGTGTGTCCTTAAATGTCATCTAGTCCACCCTTTTAATTTTATTTTTGAAATGTAAACATCAGAAGAATACATTTAATGGAATGTTAATAGTTATACCTGGAAAAAGAGTGTTCTGTGGATAATTAAGTTTATAAAATGCTGCTTAAACAAAGTTAAGAAGATACGTTTGATGCAGGGCTTATTTCAGTCTTTAATATATAATGTCCATAGCTACTGACCAAGAGAAGGGATACATTAAGGGACATTTCCTCAAGATTTGACCAGGGTACATTTTTGTTTGTTTGTTTGTTTGTTTGTTTGTTTTTTGAGACAGAATCTCACTCTGTCGGCTAGGCTGGGGTGCAGTGGTGTGAATATGGCTCACTGCAGCCTTGACCTCCTGGGTTCAGGCAATCCTCCCACCTCAGTCTCCTGAGTAGTTGGGATTACAGGCACGTGCCACCATATCCAGCTACATAGTCAAAATAATCTCTGTGGCAAAATGTACATGTAGATATATTGAAATAAACAATCGTTTCTTCTTGAGAGTTTAAACACTAATACTTCGGTTAGAAAGGAGATGCACCTATAAGCGTTTTTACCACTCAAAGTCATCAATGTCAGTAGTTCAAATAGCAGTCCCAGAGACAGTTTTCTTAAAGGCATCTTAACCACTATCACTTATCAGCTCTTCGCTTTCTTGGTCTTTGGGTTCCTCATGGGAATTCAAATCTCACTGAAAATGCAACATACAGTTGAGCCTTTTACTGCTCTCCACCTAGAAATATAGGCAATCTGCACACCTGCCTGTTTGCATAGGGGAATATTCTTGCTGACATCTGCAAAATTCAGTTGCTCCTTGATTTCTTTTATACAAGGATGATTTGGTATTTAGGCAAGCCTAAGCTGCAGATAATCACGCAAATACCCTCGGAAAGTCCTTTAATGCAGGCATGGCATCCCCAACTCCCTTGCGGTGGCCCAATACCGGTCCGTGGACTTTTAGGAACTCGGCCATACAGCACGAGGTGAAGAGCCTCGGGCAAGGGAGCATTACCGTTTGAGCTCCGCCTCATGACAGATCAGCTACAGAATTAGATTCTCATAGGAGGGCAAACCCTGTTGTGAACTGTGCATGCGAGGGATCTGGGTTGTCCGCTCTTTATGAGAATCTAATGCCTGGTGATCTGAGGTGGAACAGTTTCATTCCGAAACTATCCATTATGGCCCCGCCCCCGCCCCGCACGGTGGAAAAATTGTCTTCCACGAAAAGGTTGAGGACCGCTGCTTTATTGTATTACCCAGGCTGTTCACCTGTTTTCAACTGCAACATTGGTGGAATAGAATCTCAGAGACAAACTTTACTGCATGTATTTGCTCTGGATTGAGCTTCTCATTCCCGTACGTATATCTGATGCTTGAAAACGACCAAAATTACAAAATATAATAAATAAATAAACACATAGGAATTTATCTAAGTAGGATAATATCAGTCTCAGTTTTAAAAAAAAGTGCCACTTTCAGCTTCAGAATTCAGCACTGGCACATGGTGCTCATTAATGGCCCTGACAGAAGACCCCGAATGTATAAAAAGGGCTCTGACATTTTCCAGTTAAGAACACATAAATAAAAACTCAGAATGAAAATCGTATTACCCCCAGGCCATAGTTTATTTTCTATGATTGGTTTGAAAAGTCAAAAACAGCGACAGAACCTGCATTTCTGACTTGTTCGCTTAGTGAATTTGTTCTTGAGTCATGGAAAAATTAGAAGTTTTAGCTAAAATTAAAATTTAATAAAGGTCATTTGAGACTATAAGAATAGCTGAGTGGATCCCACTAAACTGATCTATAGCAGTTAATAATAATGATTTCCAAGGCGGGGTGTGAGGAAACAAACTACTTCTGTGAACCAAATGGCGAAGCAGTTTAAAAAAAAAGTTGGGGGGAACAAGGGAAAATAAATATCCTTTGTTAACATAATTAAATATCTTTCTTGCTGAGATCATTGCTAGAGTAATTGTCCATAGTGGCTCCATTTTTACTAAGGGAAAGCTTTTATTCATGCTAAGTTAGGTCATATTAATGGCATTAGGGACTTTCAAATATATTTCAATAACACTTTTGCAGGAAAGACATCCATTTTTGAATCCATTTGGAGAATTAAAATACACCATAGAACATTTTTGCATTTATTGAAAATTCGAAAATGTGGCTGGAATGTGAATGTCAAAATAGCTGACTAGGGCCTGCTTGAATCTGATAACAAAAATCACTAAATCACTTTGCATATCATTGAATAACGGACTCCAAAAGGTAAATTTTGCTCTTTTGTTTTGGTTTTGGCTTAGAATGCAGGGATGTAAAACAAAAGGTGTATAAACAAAATGTGTAAAACAAAAGGTGAGCACATGGGTGACACCCTTGTGGTCTGGTACAAAATGAATGTAAATACAAAAGTCATGTAAATATTTCTATGTAAATTCTGTTTTGACTCAAATTATGTACAGTATTGAGACATAGTGATAGATTAACAAACTGGCAATATTTTTAAGGGTTTTTTAAAAGACACTGAAATATAATTAAGAATATTGAGATGATAATACTTATAATAAGCCGACATTTTCTCATTCTAATTCTTATCATGTTCCTATGAAGTGTGCAATATGATATCCTTTTGGAGTTTAGGAAAGTGAGACACTACTTAAACTCTCCTGAAAATTCATAAGAATCTACTAAACCTTTTAAATCTGCATAATGGATCAGATTTGTCATTGCACAGATAAGTGAAGAATAAATACCACATATTGTGAAGTATACAACAGCTTCCTGCTTAAATAGAAAATGGATGCGCTGACATCTGTGGAATTTTGTGGTGATACAGGTTAGTCCCTGCACCATGCAGAGCTGTGCTTTCTTAACATTTTTTTGAATGCAATATGCACACAGCCATTTTAGCATTGGATTAAGTTTCAATTTGTTTCAGCAAGAATATCAAAAGCAAGCTGCAACACAAAGCAGGAGCCAACACAGGAGAGCTAAGTGTGTCCCTCCCTGGCCCTCAGAGTCCCTGACATGATCAATCAGCTGCTGACAACCCTGTATACTCAACATGGATTTTATGGAATCAAAGAAACAGAAGATCTAGATACAGTGAATGAGGTCACCGAAACATATTATTTATTTATTTTGTATTAGAGACAGGCGGGAGTGCAATCAGCTGACTGCAGTCTCCAACTCCTGGATTCAAGTGATCCTCCCAACCTCAGCCCCCCAGATAGGTAGGACTAAAAGCACATGCCACCACACCTGGCTAATTTTTAAAAAATTTTTTGGTAGAGACAAGGTCTCACTATGTTGTCCTGGCTGGTCTAGAATTCCTGGCCTCAAGTGGTCCTCCTGCCTTGGCCTCCCAAACACTGGAACTATAGGAGTGAGCTACCAGGCCTGGCCAAAAATTGATGAGCTTTTAGCAATAGATTTTATTTCTATTTCATTCATAGTTGATAATGAAGGTATTTTCTATTATACATGCAATGCATCTATCAAATTACTTTCATATCTAATGTTTCCTGACAGCCATTTCTTATTTCTTCAAGAAGTCATGTCATGTTAAAATTTCTTTTAAAGCTGTGAAAAACTCCTAAACCTGACCATGGTTCTATTCATTTTAGGTTAGTTCATGGTCACAAATCTGTTAGAACTCTATGTGCTGTGGAAAAATATTATAAATCCAGAATCTGTCTTCTTGTTTGGAAAGGTGAACTCCCAGTTATTATGAATCGGTGGGAGCAGATGCAATGTTCCTGATTACTTTTTAAAATCTTTCAGGGTCATTCTACATGATTTCATGCTAAATAACATCCACTTTCAGTCCATTTCATACGGATAATGATTTCCTGGTAAACAGTCATTTCCTCCTGCAGTACCTGAGAAAACTCGTTTTCTGAATGCTTTGACTTGTTTAGGGAAGCTCACATGTACATGACTATAATGGATGGTAATGATTATAGAATCAGAGGCAAGCTTTACTGATGGAAAACTGGTTGGAAAAGAAATGTTATCCGCAATTTAAAGCTTAACATAATACATTAAAAACAAGTTCAAGTGCTATGCTTGAAGGCAAAGACAATGTGGAATTCAGTTCTCCTCAAAGATTATATTTCTTTCAAGGGGTCTGGAAGCAATATTATGAAGGGATTGTAAGCCCAGGCACTGGAACCAGTCTGATCTGACTAAATCTTGTCTTTGTTACCTATTAGCTGTGTGAGCTTGCGCCGAGTGTGCATGATTTCTATGTTTCTATGTTTCAGGTTTGTCAACTGTTTGGAAAATCACTAGTTTGAGATCATCATAACATGTATTTTATGAAGTAGTTACGAAGATGCAATGAAGTGACTAAGTGCTTTAAATTATGTCTGCACATATCAAGGACACAGTAGGCATCCGGTGATGATAATCATAACAATTAGTATTTTCCCATCTCACTGGAATTATCTATGGTTATGTCTTTATGTCTTTGATTGATCTCCTTCCACAAATTCAGCTTTCTAATATTCTAGAAAATCGTTTCCCCTTGATTTTTTTGTCTGTATTTCTTATCCTACCATTTTATCATTCCTTACTTACTTATTCATTTAGTTATTAATTAACTCATTTTCTCAGCACACATTTACTGAATATCTATTTTGTTCCAGGTCTTGTGAAAAAACACCCTTCCCCGCAAAAAAAAAAAAAAAATTGCCTTCTGATAACTTGTAGTAATTAAACAGCCACATTGGAAGGATTAGGGTAATGAACTTTGGGAATACTTTGGGAACACTAAGAAAGTTACCTTTTGAACCATCTTAACAATCATGAAATGCTTCCCAGACAAAATGACTTCAAAAGAAAGATACAAAGATGAATAGGAGTTAGACAAATTGAGAGTGTGGGGAGAGGTTATGGTGGTGAGAATATGATGGGATGATGGGAAAACGCAGATAAAGACATTGCATTGGGGCTTTCTATTCTACAGAAACAGAACCAACAGGAGATCACATATACATGTAAACATACAACATATATTTAATATTTACACATATATACATGTGTATATATACACACATGTACATTAACATGTGTATACAATAATATGTATATGTTTATTTGTATATACACATGTGTATATATGCATGTTTATTTTATATATGTGTATACAATATGTATATGTATATATATGCAGATATATATACGTGCATATATGTGTAAGTGTATATATGTGTGTACATATGTACATATGCATATTATTGTATACATATATAAAATATCACACAATAATATATAATATGTATATATACATACATGTATGTATACATGAATATACATGTATGTGCATATATACATATATGTTTATATGTATAGGTGTGTGTGTGTATAGAGAGAGAGGAGAGAGAGAGATTGATTTTAATTAATTGGCTAACTTGATCACTTGATTGTGTGAGTGTTATGAGGGCTGGCAAATCTCAAACCTGTAGGTCAGCTCAGTGGGCTGGAAATTCAGATGAAAATTAATGTTGCAGTCTTGAAAATTCCTTCTTCATTGGGCAATCCCTTTCTTTGCTCTTAAGGGCTTCAACTGATCAAATGGCTAACATTATGAAGGGTAATCTGATTATAAATGTTAATCACATCTAAACAACATCTTCATAGCAGCATCTAGACTAGTGTTTGGCCAGACAACTAAGAATCATAGCCTAGACAAGTTGACATATAATATCAACTATTACAGAGATCAAGAGAGTATCACACTCTGAGGTACTGAAAGAAATGAAGAGTAACTGGGAAAGAGACAGAAAAGCCAGCAATTACCCATGAGAGGTAAATTAGGATCAGATTACACACAACCTCTTAAAATAGGAGCTCACTCTCAATCTTAGCTGTTTGGATTTTAATATTCACCCTAATAAAAGAGGAAGTGGCTGAATAGTTTCAAGGAAGAGAGTTATACTTTAAGCCCATAGCAATGCCCCTCTGCCTCCGTTTTATTCCTTGAAACAGCCACATTCTCTCTATTTTTTTTCTTTAAGGGGCATAAACCTGCCATTCTCATATATATCATTGTACTTGAACAGAGCTAGATTTGAATAGTACTAAAGTAAAATAAGATATGGTCTTTATTTTCTATAAAGACAAAGTTCCGACATTAGATAAATTATAAAATTCCTCCTATATCCTAATGTGCTTTGTCACCTTTTTTCTCAATTCTCTTTAGTATGATAACTTGTTCTAAACCGATAATCTGTGAAGATGGAATTCTACTTTATTTGAGTAAATGTGTTTCAGTAGCATGGCTGTCAAACCAAGCTGCTGGAGATTTGCCTACTTCAATGCTATCCAAAGGAACTTTGTTCAGTGAGAAAGGTGTTCTACATCTGCACTGACCACAGTGGTAGCTATTGGCCATTTGTATCTATTGAGCACTTGAAATGTGGCTAGTGAGACTGAATAACTAAATGTTAAATTTTATTCATATTTAATCAATTACAATTAAAATTGAAATAGCCAGGTGTAGCTAGTGGCTTCTGTATTGCACTGCAATGCCTTCACCTTTGGCCAGGACCCTGGCATCAAAGACCCTGGCATCAGAGGAAGCATGAGTGCCTTTCCTCTTTAAGGGAAGAATCTGATGGCTTAGGGGATATTTATAACTGGAGCCCATGTACCCTTCTCTTCCAGACCACAGTTCAGAAGCTCCAGAATTCCACCCCCAAATGGCCAGAAATGTACATCTGAGACCTATGCTGACGATTTTCTCAAAGTTTGCCCTTCGGAGGGAACTTCTTGTAGTCAGAGTAGGGGGTTGTGGTTAGAGTTTCCAAGTGTGCTCCTGGTTTTAAATTGATGTGTGAGAGACCACAGAGAATTGAGATGAGGCTAGACAGGCGAACAGAAAGGGTGTAGGCCAATTATCTGCTTCTTTTGTGCCAATAAGTTGAGAATTCTAAATCTAAACCTGGCTTTTGAGTCTCAGGTTCCCAAGGCGAATATGGGCTGTGAGTCCCTTACAAATGTGTATTCATTTGAACTTGGCCAGGGAAGAAGAAACCCAGCAAAAATGGAGGAGGGAGCACTGTGAGCTTACCCTGGACAGGGGGAGAAATTAACTTCTACCTACCCCTCCAAAAAATAAAGAGGAAAATAAAGTAGAATTTTGTTCTGTGGATTTCTTAAGAAATTAGAAGAGAAGGTTGAGGGAGAAAAAGGAACAAGTTAGCAAGTATTCATTCTGTTTTTGCTATGACTATGTATTTAATCAAGATTCAATATTTTATTGAACAGTTGTTAACTATACTTATTACTCTTAAATATTTAGAAATAAGGTAGATAGGCCTCCATGTGTACACTTGCCTCAGGCCTCAAACATTTTAGGGGTGAGCCTGGTGACTACAGTGGAATCTTCCATTTTGATACCCATTATACTGTCTCATTATTAATTTATATTTTCATTTTTCTCTTACCAGATTGTGAGGCAATCTATTCTTCAATGACTAATAAATAACTTAATAACATAATAATCCTTAATAGGTGAGAGTTGAAGGAAAAAATAAAATAAATACCACAAAAAGAGCACAGATTTCTTCCCTCTGCATCTGCAGATAGGAAATGCCCCAGTACTGGAACGATTAGGCCACCAAACATATTTTTTAATCTTAAAACTCAGATAGTCTTACAATGAAAATCACTTCCTCCTCTATCAGCTTAACCAGTAGATGTAAGAATTTTTGCATATTTTTACAAAAACTTTTATGTGGATGAGGGAAGGAAGGAGGGAGGGAAGGAGGGAGGGAAGGAAGGAGGGAGGGAAGGAAGGAGGGAGGGAAGGAAGGAAGGAGGGAAGGAAGGAAGGAAGGAAGGAAGGAAGGAAGGAAGGAAGGAGGGAAGGAAGGAAGGAGGGAAGGAAGGAGGGAAGGAGGGAAGGAAGGAGGGAGGGAAGGAAGGAGGGAAGGAAGGAAGGAAGGAGGGAAGGAAGGAAGGAAGGAGGGAAGGAAGGAAGGAAGGAGGGAAGGAAGGAGGGAAGGAAGGAGGGAAGGTAGGAGGGAAGGAAGGAGGGAAGGAAGGAGGGAGGGAAGGAAGGAGGGAAGGAAGGAGGGAAGGAAGGAGGGAGGGAAGGAAGGAGGGAAGGAAGGAGGGAAGGAAGGAGGGAGGGAAGGAAGAAGGGAAGGAAGGAGGGAAGGAAGGAAGGAGGGAAGGAAGGAGGGAGGGAAGGAGGGAAGGAAGGAGGGAAGGAAGGAAGAAAAATAAGGGAAGGAGAAAAGGAAGAAGTAGGGAGGGAGGGAGGGAGGAAAAGAGGGAAGAAAAGTTGGCCCGTTATATATGTGTTTTCCCACTTCAGATCTCAAATCATTAACCTGTTGGCAGCACTTATTTGTCATGGTCTGGCCTTAGGTAAGCTTGAGACTCACGATTTGATGGAAGAATATATTTAATGGTAAGCATGTCTCAAACGTCAGCTGTGTGTTAGATCTGAGTTACACAATATGCAACATGTTCTCTCCTCTCCTATAGTTCTAATATTGTTCATTTATTCAGCAAATGTTTGTAGAGAACCCCTCTAAAAATGTCTTCTCCCAGAGGCATAAATTTACCTCCTAAAGAACAGAATTAGGCTTTTTATAATTTCAGCAATGAATCACTTTGTTATAGTGAGAAGAATTTTGGATTTAACATATCATATATCACTAAAAGTAAATGTAAATGAAATAAGTATATTCAATTCTAAGATGTGTCCTGTAGAAAGGTACTAGGTTTACATTTGGAAATAATAGAATAATTAATAGCTCTCTAACTGACTTAATGCCAGATTTTTAATTATCATTTTATATTGCAGTAACTCCTTATTTAACATCTTTTATACATTCCTTCTGCCTACTAATCACCTCCATTCTGATATCTCAACTTAAGGTGTCTAAAATGGAACTTACAACATACATGCATTTCTTCAAAAATAGCTTTTGCTTTGACTTCTGAAATTTGCCCTATGGAATAACTATTTTGTCCATGTGACTCTAGAATCCTCTGACATCCACATTTGAAAGGAAGAAGTACAATAGTCTCTGTTTGCAGATGAAATGATCTTATATGTAGATGATCCTAAAGACTTTACCAAAAGCTGCTAAAACAAATTCGGTAAAGTTGTAGAATACAGAATCAACATGCAAAAATTAGTTGCACTGCTATACATTAACAACAAACTATTCAAAAAGTTTTAAGAAAGATTTTATTTAGGACAGAATAAACACAAATTAAAATAGTTAGAAATAAGTTTAACAAAGTGAATGATCTATACACTGAAGAGTACAAAACACTGATGAAAGAAATTAAAGACACAAGTAAATGGAAACATATTTTGTGTTTATGGATTGGAAGACTTAATATTTTTTAAATGGATTTACTACTCAAAGCAATCTACCTATTCAATGCAATCTCTACCAAAATTCCAAATGACTTTTTCACAGAAATAGAAAAAAATATTAAAATGTATATGAAAACACAAAAGACCCAGAATAACCAAAGCAATCTTGAGCTGGAAGAACAAAGCTGGAAGTATCCCACTCTCCAATGTCAAAATATATCACAAAACTACAGTAATCTAAATAGCATGGTACTGATATAAAAACAGACACATGGAGCAATGGAACAGAACAGAAAGCCCAGAAACAAATCCATGCATTTATAATTAATTGATCTTCAACAAAGATGCCAAGAATATTAATGAGGAAAAGACAGTTTGTTTAGTAAGTGTTGTTAGGGAAACTGAATATCCACATGCAGAAGAATAAAATTGGGCCTTTATCTAATACCGTATACAAAAATAAAATGAATTAAAGCCTTAAATGTAAGACCTGAAACTATGAAACAAGTCTGTCCAACCTCGCGGGTTGTGGGCTGCTTGTGGCCCAGGACGGCTTTGGATGTGACCCAACACAAATGGGTAAACTGTCTTAAAACATTATGAGATTTTTTTGCCATTTTTTTTTTTTAGTTAATCAGCTATTGTTAGTGTTAGTGTATTTTACGTGTGGCCCAAGACAATTCTTCTTCTTCCAATGTGACCCAGGGGAGCCAAAAGTTTAGACACCCCTGCAAAGTACTAGAAGTAAACTCAGGGAAAAAGCTTTTGACATGAGTTTGGGCAATGATTTTTTGAATATGATCCCCAAAGCACAGAAAACAAAAGCAAAAATAAACAAATGGATTGACATCAAACCAAACAGCTTCTTTACAGTGAAGAAAACTATCAACAAAGTGAAGAGACAACCTATGGAATGGGAAAAAAGTATTTCAAACCATACATATTGTATAAGGGATTAATATTCAAAATGTGTCATGAACTCAAGCAACTCAATGGCTAGAAAACATATAACCTGATTATAAATGGACAAAGAATCTGAATCAGTATTTTCCAAAAGAAAATATGCACATCACTAATCATCAGGGAAATGCAAATCAAAACCACAGTGAAGTATCATCTTGTACTTACTCGAATGGATATTATCAGAAGGACAAAGATAACTAGTGTTGACAAGGATGTGGAGAGAAATGAACACTGTTTTTTCACTGTACATTGTTGTTAGGAATGTAAATTGGCATAGTCATTATGGAAAACAGTAGGGAGGTTTCTCAAAAAATTAATACACTGGGTGCAGTGGCTCACACAGTATGAAAACTGTGTGGAGAACAGTATGGAGGTTTCTCAAAACAACAACAACAACAACAACAACAACCAAAAAAAAACTAAGCCGGGTGCAATGGCTCACACCTGTCATTCCCAACACTTAGGGAGGCAGAGGCTAATGGATTGCTTGAACACAGGAGTTTGAGCCCAGCCTGGGTAACATGGTGAAACTTCATCTCTACAAAAAAAACAGAGCAATTAGCCAAGCATGACGGCAGACGCCTGTAGTCCCAGCTACTCAGGAGGCAGAAATGGGAAGATCACCTGAGCCTGGGGAGGTTGAAGCTGCAGTGAGCCTTGATCACACCACTGCATCCAGTCTGGGCGACAGAGTGAGACCCTGTCTCAAAAACAAAAAACAAAAAAAAAAAAAAAAAAGAAAGAAAGAAAAAAGAAAAGAAAAGAAAAGAAAGCAAGGAACTACCATAAGATTCAACAATCTCACTTCTTGGTATACATCCAAGGAAATGAAATCAGTACGTCAAAGAGATATCTGCACCCACATGTCATTGTATGATTATTCACAATAGTCAAGATATTGATTCAACATAAATGTCAATAGATGTGAGAATAAAGAAAATATAATACACAAAAACATATACAAACATATATATAAATATAATTCTGCCTTAAAAATGAAGGAAATCCTGTCATTTGCAATAACATGAATGAACCTGGAAGACATTATGCTACATGCAATAAGTCAGGCACAGAAAGACAAATATGCGTGACATCACTTATATGTGGAATCTCAAAACGTCAAAGTCCCAACAGTAGAGAGTAGAATGCTGGTTTCTGGGGCTGGGGTTGTGGAAATGGAGAGATGTTGTTCAAAGTGTACAGTTTCAGTTATGAAACTATGCAGGATGAAAAAGTTCTGGAGGAAAAAAAACAAGTAAAAAAGGCTCCGGAGTCCTCTTTGAGTCTACTCTCCCTTTCTCTCCACTTCCAGTCACCACATCTCTCTGCTTTGCTTAAATAAACTTATTCATCTAATTTTCCATTGCTAGCTCAAAACTTGGACAGTTTATAACTAAGCTATTCAACTAGTATTGGCATCTTAATTAGTATTGGCATCTTTACTCTCTGTTCCTGTTACCATATTAAATGTAGAATCCCAAACAGTCCTAAAATACAGATGTGATTCCTTCACTCCCAAACCCATAAAGCATCCCATGCTTTCCCTTCCCTCCTAAACCTAAACCTCAAACACTTATGTATTCCTATATCCTATCATGTTTTTATCTTAATATCACCCTTCATCTAAATTGCCTTTGTTCCCTGCCATGCCTGATGTCTTTCTGTTTCTTACTTGGACTGATGGAATCCTTTCATTTGAAGTACTCTTCTCGTTATTCTTATTTCTTAAAATTTTACCTATTCTCTCCTTTAAAACTCAGAACATGTGGCCCAAAGTGTCAGAATATCAATCCTTGATTTTATTCCATCAGTCAGTATTTTTCAAATATTAGATAAGTATATACTATGTGTCACTAAATACTAGTTAACTCTCTTTGGAGTTAAAATAAGAGAAACCCAAATTAAACTTCTCTAATAAGAGACTTATTTAGAACACAATGGCTGAATTGCAATAAGGAATAATGGGAAATTATATACACTAGCTAGTCTGTCTTATTCAATACCACAGTAGATTTAGATTTCAAAACAATAAACCCAGAATATTTTAAAATAAATAATTAAGGAGTTTTCTGTAAAGGTAATAAAATCTCTCCAAGAGCCTAATGGCAACATTGCAGTTTAATTTTAGGAAAACCTGGATCTGTGGACAAAACCATCATCATACTTCTCTCCCTATCATAATCTTTCTGCATGCTCTGTGCCCTCTATCATCAAATTTACTGAAGTATTTATTTCCCCTTTACTCACGGACATAACAAAGAAAGTTCCCAATATTATAGCTCCCCAGTTTCAAAACAGTGTGGCTAGACTGAGTTGGTATTTTTATCCATTCCAGATATCCAGGTGCCTTACTTCATTTGGGCTGTCGTAACAAAATACCACAGACTAGGTATAAGCAACAGAAATTTATTTCTCATAGTTCTGGAGACAGAAATGTGGCCAAGATCAACATACCAGCTGATTCAGTGTCTGGATAGGGCCCACTGTCTCATAGATGAGACCTTCTTGCTTTGTCCTCACATGGTAAAAGGAGCTAGCTAGCTCTCTGGGCTCTTTTATAATGGTACTAGTGCTAATCATGAAGTTTCCACCCTCTTGACCTAATCATCTCCAAGGGCCCCTCCTCCTAGAAGTATCACCTTAGAGTTTAGAATTTCAATATATACATTTTGAGGAGACACATACATTCAGACGATAGTGCCAGAAAATTATCTGGTTGGTTCTACTTGGAGTATTTGCTGATACAGTATTTTTGAGCCAGGGTTTGGGGTTACTTGGTCTCAGCAAGACTGGGAAAAGTGGCTGCTTCCAGAAAACAGGGAGTTCTGGGTGTCCCTAGAATTATAGGTGCCCATTGCAGAGATTGGTAAAGATGAAGAAGGGGACCAAATCCTGCCTCAGTGATGTCAGAATAGAGTAGAGGGATGAGAAACTTCTCTCTGGATATATTTAAAGCCATTTTCAAATTCAGTAATATATTTTACCTAATCTTAGTATTCTTCTTTCCTTTATTGTGTTTTTACACTTTACACTTTAATGTGTAATTTTACATTTTTAAAGATTAATCTCAATTTTAGCATTTTGGGGTAGCTACATTTAACATGGATTTTTAAATAGCTATACTTGTGGGGAAACATAAGATCAAATTAGTCTTTAATATATTTTTCAAGTAATTGAGTTGCAGCAGTGTGCTTTCACGTCCCTATCTAACCTTACTTCTTTTCATGACTCTTCTGAACTATTCTCAGTTTAATGGGATTGCTCCAATTAAATTTTACAAAGGCTTATGAATGTCACTATCCAGGTATTTTAAAAGGTTTGGAAAGCACTTAAAATTCTACTGGGGAAACAAAGCCAGCAGCACCTCCTGCAGTATTTATTTCCTTCTTCTCTTACACCTGGGCTACTTTATTTATCTGGCAGAGTTCTTTGCTGCCAAAAATATAATTAGTACACTTACGCCTCTAATTACCAGAGCACAGAGACTCCTCTCAGAGAAACTTGGAGAGCAGTCCCCACACTGAGAGCCAAATGAGAAGATGAGTGAGCTACTTCTAAGAAATTTGTTGAATAAATATGTGTGACCTACAGTGGGCAGCAACCTGAGTGAGTTTTGAGGAAGCCACGTGGTGGGATCGCTGGCCATTGTGTCAAAAGATCAGAGAATGTGAGGAAACTATAATAACAAGTGGGTGATATTTTTAGAATCGTTTTAACATTCTTTATGTTTCAGAGGAATAGTAGAAAGAGAAGCATAATGACTATAAAATTTACCAAACACTTCCCAATTTCCCATTCCAACTCATTCAATAGTTCAGTAACATTCTTTTATTAAAATAATAATTTACCGTTGGACTTTTATAGACAAAAGTTTACTTGGGGGTGAATAATCTTTATTTAGAACCCTTCTCTGTACTACCCATTTTTCCCTAGTCTTATTGATTATCACTTCCGAACAATATACTGAATGGTGATCTCTCCTGAATAATTCCAAATTTCTCAATTTTTTAATATTTCCAGAAAATACATAAACACCCTCACAGAAAATGGAAGGCAATTATTTAAATACTATAAAAGTGTGCTTTATTTAACAATAAAAAGTAAGTAAATTGAGATCCTTGTAAAGCTAAAGTAGTTTAAATTTCAAGGGTTGATATGTATTTATAATATTTGAGGGGACAGAATCATAAAAATGTTTCTTTATTGAGATGCAAGATGAAGTAAAAATGAGTTTTCCAGAAAAAAAATTTAAAAGAACACTATGCTAATCACTAGCTTTTGTTGTTGCTAGTGAACATGATGAATTAAGTCATTAATTGCTCATGACCTTTTTCTTAAGTATCAAATGTACATACCTTTAATTCAGTATTTGTAACTTTTTCTGATTCATTTTTCATTATATTATATACTGATGTATGCACATGCAGCTTTCTGTGATATTTGTATTTTTGTTTCTTGTATCTTCAACAACTCAAATTGATAGTATCATTTAAATATAAGAGAATCCAGGATTTTCATCTGTTTTTCATTTGTAAGTAAATCTATGATTTTATTCTTTCCCTTAGTTGAATTATATACCATTTAAAATTGAAAAACTTATCTCTAAAATAAGGTGGAAGCTTTTAAACTAGTATAAAAGTAAGATTTGATGGTATATATTTTGTTGAAAACAACTTCTGTTAGCTTTGAAGTCTGTGATCTGTTCTGAGAGCTTTGACCATTTCTATTTTCCTCGATCACATTGCCTGGCATGTGACTAGAAATTATCTATTCACAAAATGATTGTCATTTTAATCTTGCATCTTGTTACAATCTGGTAAAATACATTTTATGTGTTAATTAAAAATTAAGTTTAAATTAAAATTCATTCCTATGGGGCACCACCACTCAAATGCCTCATCTTGCCTCAGTCATGTAGATAATCATATAATGAGATACCTGCATATAACGCTAAGCTTGTTGGTGTGCTGTCAGTATCAATTCCTCATTCCTGTGTGGCTTTTGACACCTGTGAAAAGACTTACTCTCATTCCGAAAGTATTAAACACTGGAAAAAAATGTGTATCAAACTCAATAAAATTTCAGCAAATAGAGATTTCAAAGAAGAAAAAAAATAAAATCACGTAGTTCACCATCTAATTTCTTAGATTAATAAAATGGATCTAGGTAGACGCCAAAAGGTCATTAGTTACCACATATGACATAGCATTGTAGGGGCAGAGACTGCTTATTTTTTACTGATTCCAGCTTTTATTTTAGGTTCAGGAGATACATATACACGTTAGCTACATGGGCAAATTGTGTGTTGCTGGGGTTTGGTGTACAAATGATTTTTGTTATCCAGTTAATGACCATAGTACCCAATAGGTAGTTTTTTGATCCTCAGCATCCTCCCATCCTTCACCCTCAAGTGGGCCTTGGTGTCTGTCATTCCCTTCTTTGTGTCCATGTGTACTCAATGTTTAGCTCCCATTTATAAGTCAGAACATGCAGTATTTGATTTTCTGTATTGATTCCCTTAGGATAATGGCCTCCAGTTGCATGTATGTTGTTACAAAGGAAATGATTTCATTCTTTTTATGATTGTGCAGTATTTCATGGTGTATATGTACCACAGTTTCTTTATCCAGTCTACCACTCATGGGCATCCAGCTTGATTCTATGTCTTGGCTACTGTGATAACATACATGTGCATGTGCCTTAAGGTACAGCAATTTAGATTCCTTTGGGTATATACCTAGTAATGGGATTGCTGGGTCAAATGGTAGTACTGCTTTAAGTTTTCTGAGAAATCTCCAAACTCTCCAAACTGCTCCCCACTGTGGCTGAACCAATTTACATTCTCAACAGCAGTATATAAACATTCCCTTTTCCTGGAAACTTACCAAGGTGCTATTTTTGGACTTTTTTGTAATATCCATTCTGACTGGTATGAGATAGCATCTCAGTGTGGTTTCAGTTTGCATTTCTCTAATGATTAGTGATTTTTAGTATTTTTTTGTATGCTTGTTGGCCTTATGTATGTCTTCTCTTGACAAGTATTGCTCATGGCCTTTGCCCATTTATTAATGGAATTGTTTTTGTTTGCTGATTTGTTCAAGTTCCTTATAGATTCTGGATATTAGATCTTTGTCAGATGCACAGTTTGCAAATATTTTCTCCTATTATGTAAGCTATCTTTATACTCTGTTGATTGTTTCTTTTGCTGGGCAGAAGCTTTTTAGTTTAATTGTGTCCCAGTTGTCAAATGCTGTTTCCATTGCAATTGCTGTTGGAGTTTTCATCATGACATCTTTGCCAAGGCCTATGTCCAGAAGTGCTGTCTTGTTCTGGTTCTCAAGAGAAATGCTTCCAGCTTTGGTCCAGTGAGTATGATGTTCACTTGGGTTTGTCATAGATGGCTCATATTATTTTGACTTATGTTCCTTTGATGCTCCGTTGATGGTTTTTAACATGAAGAGATGTTGAATGTTATCTAAAGCCTTTTCTGTATCCATTGAAATAATCATGTGGTTTTTGTTTTTAGTTTTGTTTATGTGATGAGTCACATTTATTGATTTGTATATGTTGAATCAACCTTGTGTACCAGGAAGTAAGACTACTTGATCATGGTGGATTAGCTTTTCAATGTGATTTTGGATTTGATTTGCTAGTATTTTGCTGAGGATTTTTGCATTTGTGTTCCTCAGCGATATTTGCCTGAAGCTTTCTTTTTTAGTTTTGTCTCTGCCAAGGTTTGGTATCAGTATAATACTGGTCTCATAGAATGAGTTAGGGAGGAGGCTCTCCTCCTTAAATTTTTGGAATAGTTTCAGTAAGATTGGTACCAGCTCTTTAAACATCTGGTAGAATTTGGCTATGAATCCATCTAGTACAGGGCTTCTTCTGGTTGGTAGTTTTGTTTTTTTATTAAACTGATTCAATTTCAAAACTCATAACTGGCCTATTGAGATATTTGATTTCTTTCTGGTTCCATCTCGGGAGGTTGCATGTTTCCAGGATTTTATCTATTTCTTCTGGGTTTTCTAGTGTTTGTGCATACAGATGTTCTCAACAGTCTTTGAGGGTTGTTCGTATTTCCATGAGGTCAGTGGTTATGTCATCTTTGTCATTTCTAATTGTTTTTATTTGGATCTTGTTTTGTTGTCTTATTAGTATAGATAGTGGTCTACCAATCTTATTTATTCTTTGAAAGAAGAAACTTTTGGTTTTGTTAATCTTTTTTATGGATGTTCACATCTCAGTTTTATTTAGTTCAGCTCTGATTTTGGTTATTTCTTTTATATTGCTTGCATTGGGGTTTGTTTGCTCTTGTTTTTCTAGTTCCTCTAGCTATAATATTAAGTTGTTAATTTGAAATCTTTCTAACTTTTTGATGCAGGCATTTAGTGCTGTAAACTTTCTTCTTAACACTGCATTAGCAGTGTCCCAGAGATTCTTGAATCTTGTCTGTGGGTTTTCATTAGTTTTTGATGATTTTTTTGTGTGTCTTAATTTAACATCAGTCAGGAGCAAGTTGTTTTTATCATTATGTAATGTCATTCTTTTGTTTTCCTTTTGTTGTTGATTGTTGTTAAAGTCTGTTTTGTCTGAAATGAGAATAGCAACACCTGTTTTTTTGTTTGGTTGTTTGTTTTCTCTTTGCTCAACAGATCTTTCTCCAACTTTTTACTTTGAGCCTGTGGGTGTCATTGCTTGTGAGATGGGTCTCTTAAAGACAACATACTATTGAGTATTGCTTCTTTATCAGACCTGCCACTCTGTGCCTTTTAAATGGGGCATTTAGCTAATTTGTGTTAAAGGTTAATATTGATATGTGAGTATTTGATCCTATATTGTGTTGTTAACTGGCTACTATGTAGACTTTATTGTATCTTTATTGACACTTTATAGTGTCAGTGGGCTATGCACTTAAGAGTATTTTTGTGGTGACTGGTAATGGTCTTTCATTTCTGTGGTTAGCACTCTCTAAAGAACCTCCTGTGAGGCAGGTCTGGTGGCAACAAGTTCCATCAGAATTTATTTGTCTGGGCTAGGCATGGTGGCTGATACCTGTAATCCCAGCACTTTGGGAGGCTGAGGTGGGAGGATCACTCTAGGCCAGGAGTTTGGGAATGTGCTTGTCTGAAAAGGATTTTCTCCTTCACTTATGAAGCTTAGTTTGGCTGGATATTAAATTCTTGGTTGGAATTTCTTTTGTTTAAGGATACTGAATGATACGGTTTGGCTGTGTCCACACCCAAATCTCATCTAGAATTGTAATTCCAATAATCCCCATGTGTCATGGGAGGGACCAGGTGAAGATAATTGAATCATGGGGGTGGATTCACCCATCCTGTTCTCATGATAGTGAGTTAGTTCTCACAACATCTGATTGTTTTATAAGGGTCTTTCCACTTTGCTGGGCACTCATTCTCTCTCCTGCTGCCCTATGAAGAGGTGCCTTTCAGCATGATTGTTAAGTTTCCTGAGGCTTCCCCAGCCATGTAGAACTGTCAGTCAGTTAAACTTCTTTTCTTTATAAATTACCCAGTCTTGAGTATGTCTTTATTGGCAGCATGAGAATGGACTAATAGAGTAAATCGGTACTGGGGAGTGGGATGCTGCTATAAAGATACCCAAAAATGTGGAGGTGACTTTGGAACTGGGTAACATGCAAAGGTTGAAACAGTTTGATGAGCTCAGAAGAAGACAGGAAGATTGGGAAAGGTTGGAACTTCCTAGAGACTTGTTGAATGGCCTTGACCAAAATGCTGATAGTGTTAGCGACAATGAAGTCCAAGCTGAAGTGGTCTCAGATGGAAATAAGGAACTTGTTGGAAACTGAAATAAAGGTCACCCTTGCTATGCAAAGAGACTGGTGGCATTTTACCCCTGCCCTAGAGATCTGCAGAACTTTGAACTTGAGAGAGATGGTTTAGGGTATCTGGCAGAAGAAATTTCAAAGCGGCAAAGTGTTCAAGTGGAAACAGAGCATAAAAGTTTGGAAAATTTGCAGCCTGATGATGCAATAGAAAAGAAAAACTCAATTTATGGGAGAAATTCAAGCCCACTGAAGAAATTTGCGTAAGTAAGGAGAAGCATAAGTAATAAGTAATCTCCAAGACAATGCTGAAAATGTCTCCAGGGCATGTCAGAGACCTTTACAGCAGCTCCTATCACAGGCCTGAGGCCTAGGAGAGAAAAATGGTTTTGTGGGCCAGGCCCAGTGGCTCCCCCCACGCTCTGTGTGGCCTTGGGACATGGTGCCCTGCATCCCAGATGCTTCAACTCCAGCCATGGATAAAAGGGGCCTATGTAAAGCTCAGGTCATTGCTTCAGAGGGTGAAAGCCCCAAGCCTTGGTAGCTTACAGATGATGTTGGGCCTGTAGTGCACAGAAGTCAAGAATTGGGGTTTGAGAACTTCTGCCTGGATTTCAGAGGATGTATGGAAATAGCTGGATGTCCAGGCAGAAGTTTACCACGGGGCAGAGCTGTCATAGAGAACTTCTGCTAAGGCAGTGTGGAAGGGAAATGTGGGGTTGGAACACCCAGAGTCCCCACTGGAGCACTGCCTGCTGGAGCAGTGAAAAGAGGGCCACCATCCTCCAGACTCCAGAATGGTAGATCCATTGACAGCTTGCCCTGTGCACCTGGAAAAGCCACAGACATTCAATGCCAGCCTATGAAAGCAGCTGGGAAGGGAGCTGTATCCTGCAAAGCCACAAGGGAAGAGCTGCCCAAGGCTGTGAGAGCCTAACTCTCGTTGGGCCTGTACCTCCATTGTGTCTATGAAATAACTAACTTGCTTTTGATTTTACAGGCTCATAGGCAGAAGGGACTTGCCTTGTCTCAGATGAGACTTTGTAGTTGGACTTTTGAGTTAATGCTGGAATGAATTAAGATGTTGTGGGACTGTTGGCAGGGCATGATTGTGTTTTGAAATGTGAGGACATGATTTGGGAGGGCCCAGGGGAAGAATGATACATTTTGGCTGTGTAGCCAAATCTCATATCATATCGTAGTTCCCATAATCATCCATGTGTCATGGAAGGGATCCAGGGGGAGGTAATTGGTTCATGAGGGTGGTTACCCTCATGCTGTCCTCATGATAGTGAGTGAGTTTCCATGCGATCTGAGGGTTTTATAAGGGGCTTTGCCCCCACTTTACTCTTATTCTTTTCTCTCCCGCTGCCATGTGAAGAAGGACATGTTTGCTTTTCCTTCCATCATGATTGTAAGGTTGCTAGGGTTTCCCCAGCCTTGCAGAACTGTGAGTCAATTTAAACTCTTTTCTTTATATATTACCTAGTCTCAGATATTTCTTCATATTAGTGTGAGAATGGACTAATACACTGAATATAGGATCTCAAACTCTTCTAGCTTGTAATGTTTCTGCTGAAAGGTCTACTGTTAGTCAGATGGGCTTCCTTTTGTACTTGACCTATCCTTTCTTTCTACCTTCCTTGAATATTTTTTTCATTTCATTGACCTTGGAGAATCTGGTGTCTGTGCTTTGCTGATAATCATCTGGTGTAGTATCTCCCAGGGGTTTTCTGCATTTTCCAAATTTACATTTTAACCTCTCTAGCGAGATTGGAGAAGTTTTTGTGTATGATATTTTCAAATATGTTTTCCAAGTTGCTTACTCCCTTGCTCTTTCTTTCTGAGATGCCAATGAGTCATAGGTTTGGTCTCTTTACATAATTCCATATATCTCAGGGGTTTTCTTCATTTTTTAAATTATTTTTTCTTTATTTTTGTCTGACTGAGTTGATTCGAAGAAACAATCTTCAAGCTCTGAGATTCTTTTCTCAACTTGGTCTTTTCTGATGTTAATAATTACAATTGTATTATGAAATTAATGCAGCGAGTTTTTCACATTTAGAATATCAGTTTTGTTTTTTCTTTCTTTCTTTTATTTTATTTTATTTTTTTGAGATGGAGTCTTGCTCTGTCACCCAGGCTGAAGTGCAGTGACGCAATCTCGGCTCACTGCAAGCTCTGCCTCCTGGCTTCATGCCATTCTCCTGCCTCAGCCTCCCGAGTAGCTGGGACTACAGGCACCCCTGCCACGGCACCTGGCTAATTTTTTTTTTGTATTTTAGCAGAGACGGGGTTTCACCGTGGTCTCAATCTCCTGACCTCATGATGCGCCTGCCTTGGCCTCCCAAAGTGCTGGGATTACAGGCGTGAGCCACTGCGCCCATCCTTGTTCTTTCTTAAAATGGCTACTTAAACTTTTAGCTTTTGTATCATTTTAGTAGATTCCTTGGATTCCTTAGATTCCTTTGATTGGGTTTTAACTTTCCCCTGAACCTTGATGAGCTTTGTTGACACCCAGATTCTCAATTCTGTGTCTGTCATTTCAACTATTTTAGACTGGTAAAGAACCATTGCTGGGAAGCTAGTGTGATCATTTTGATGTAGGTGTCTTCTTACATCCAAATGTAAGTAGAGTTTAGAGTTGCCCATGTTCTTGTACATTTTTTTTTCTTATCTAGTGTTTCTTTAATGTTTGAAGGTGCTGTCCTTTAGATGGGGCTTTTTGCTTTTATATTCTTTGATGTCTTTGAGGGTTTGACTGTGGTATAAATTGAAGTTAGTCAATTGGCTTTATTTCTGAATGATTATAGAGGGCCAAGCCTCTCCTCCACACTCCTGAGCTGCATTCTCTAATCCTGGGGGCTTGGTATTTGGCCCATGGCTTTATTCCCTGGCCCGTTGAAGTTGAGCAACTGCTGTGTTGTACGGGCCAAAGTGTTCCCAGTCTGTTGGCAACGACCTCCAATGGGGGTGCTGGCAAAGGTGGTTTGGCTGCCTGGGCAGCAGTAGATCAACAGTAGCTGGGGGAGGCAGCTGGTGGGTGCACAGTGGTGGAATTCTGTCTGCAACAGCAACCCTGTTAGGCAGGCACAGTCTGCCAATGAAAGGGCTATGGTAGTGGCAGCTGGACTGTGTTATAGCTGGGCAGTTAATGCTGCTCTGAAAGCAAGTACTTTCAGTCAGGAACCCTGCAAGAGGCTGGCATATGGGGGCGGGGGGCTCAGGTGAGACCGGCCTTGTTCCATGAGCAAGATAGCCCTGATTTGTCCAGGTCAGGCAACCAACAAGGCTAAAGCCATCTAGAGGAGTATGACAAGCCTTGAGGGATGCGTGCCACTTCATCCAGCTCTCTGGGCTCCATATAGGCTGGAGTTTTGCCTCTGGCAACTCTCCAGGCAGTTCTCCCTGAAAGCTCAAATGTCCATGTTGGCCATAGGGTTTCCTGCAGCTAGGATTCTGGAGGTCTGTGGAGAGAGTGGGCCACTGCACACCTATTTTACTCCCCCTTTCCTCAGCAGCCACTTGGGGCCAGAAACAAGTTCTGGCGCTCAGCAACCCTGTGCATGGTTACAAGCTTCCTCCCCTTTCAGCCCAGTATATGCATCCTCCCGCCATCCACTCTCAGTGCCTTCTTTCCCCAGATCTGTTCAGTGTGTGCTTGTCTTCTTCATGGTCTGGTCTCTCAGTGGCAGATGCGTTTCCTAGCTCCATCTAATTGGCCATCCTGGCTCCTCTCACTTGCTTATTTTATTTCTCAGTCTAACGCTCCTTCTAGCATGACTATCTGCTGTGTGTGAATATAAGGGCATGTGACATTTGTATAAATGAAAAAAATAATCCAGAGACATATATAAAAGAGGATCACCTCAGTGGATAGCTTTCCACATACTTTGGGTTTGGAGGTTACCTCAGAGATATAGTAATAAGAGTTAAAATGACACATAAGGCAACCCACCAGCGGAAAAAATTTAAATTTCATCAAATAAGTAGTTCTACAACAGGAGAAACTTAGATTTCTATAAGATTCATCAGGTTCCAGAAGTTTAAGAGGAAACTCCAGTTTGTAAAATGGATTATATTCCGGAAACCATTAGTAAATTTATAAAATGCAAGTTTTTAAAGTAATCATGCTCCATTTAACATCTATTCAACTGGCAAACTTCAAACAATTAACATTTAATTGGTGAGGATGCTGTATTAAAAATAGCCTGCCTTATTGGCAAATGATTTGGCTTGCAAACTTAAAAATATCTCGACCTGGCAGGGCGCGGTGGCTCACGCCTGTAATCCCAGCACTTTGGGAGGCCGAGGGGGGCAGATCACGAGGTCAGGAGATTGAGACCATCCTGACTAAAATGATGAAACCCTGTCTCTACTAAAAAATACAAAAAAAATTAGCCGGGCGTGGTGGCGGGCACCTGTAATCCCAGCTACTGAGGAGGTTGAGGCAGGAGAATGGCGTGAACCCGGGAGGTGGAGCTTGCAGTGAGCCGAGATCGCGCCACTGCACTCCAGCCTGGGCGACAGGGCGAGACTCTGTCTCAAAAAAAAATAAGTAAATAAAAATAAAAAATAAAATATCTTGACCTAATGAATTAAATTCTGGAAAAGGATACTAAAAATAATTGCAAAAGCAGTAATATAATATGCACATTATATTTTACTTTGCATGACTAATTATAATCATAAAAATAGAAATGGCTAAAATGCTTAAGAGTAGAGAACACCTTAAATAAGTTATTATTTGTCTTCAAAAGAGAAAATAGCATAGACGTTCACTACAATAATTATGAATTGGAAAAACCATGAACTTTTTTTTTTTGTATAATAGTAAGTTTAAAAGGCAGAATGCAAAAGTATTAGGGTTTGAACTCATTTTTATGTTGAGAAACATTGGAAGCTATATTTATAAATGCAAACACAAGTTTTAGTACCTGGGGAGTATAAGTGAATATCCTTTCTTCTTTGGCTGTCTCTTCAAATTTCTAACAATGTTATCAATAAATGCAATACAAATCCCCTAACTCATTCCAGCTTCAGTGGTTTGGGCCACTTCTCAAAGTCCTCCACTGGTATTTTGGGAAATATCTATAGTGTCACATAAGTCCTCTGCAGAGCAGGCCCAGGTATTTTCTTTCTCCTTTCTAGATGGCTTTGGATGCCTACAAAAGAACACCAGAATCATCCTTGAGACTGCTGATGCCTCTCCAGAGAAAACTGCCTCTGGAATTTTCAAGAGAAGGCTGCCTCTCTTAGAAACTAACTCTTATTGGTCACAATGCTGCAAGACTCATACTAGGTCCTCCACCTCCTGGGGCAGGAAGATCCTCTATGTTCTGTGCCAATACTGGAAGACCCTTAGAAAACAGCCAAAAGTATTCTGAAAACAGTCAAGAGGAAGGAATACTCCTCTGGATATATAAAATTCAGTTTCATAGACTAGGACAGAATTCCATAGGTGGCAGAATGGAGGACTCCAGAGGATGAGAAATGTCCATGTCAGTTTTCTCCCATAATACACTCTTCCATTCTCCACTATAAATTGCACAATATGCAGGGACCAGCACATTTTTATTTATTATTTCTAGCATATATTTTAGACCCATACATTTAATAGATGCTCAACAGATATTAGTAAACAAATGAATAAATAAATGAATAAATGCAGATAGATCACTGAGAGCTGCCAGTTCACCTGGATATCCATCATAATGAGGTTTAGTTAATTAGTCAAGGTACCACTAGACAAAGGAATGTGCATTTGCATCTTGTATGAATGATGTCCAATATTCAAAGTATATCTAACTTGGCCATTTCTAGAGGTATCCAATCTTTTGGCTTTCCTTGAGAAAAAAAGAAAAGCAAAACAAATCTCACAATGTTTTAAGAAAGTTTATGAATTTATGTTGGGCCATATTCAAAGTTGTCTTGGGCTCCATGTGGTCCGTGGTCTCAGGTTAGACAAGCTGGATTCAGGCCTATTTTCTAACCATACATGATAACTCAGTCCACAAAGCTCTAAAATAAGCTTAACCTCCTTTCTTCCTCTTCATGTTTTGCAGAGGCTAGTGGTTCACTGACCTTCTCTTAATAAGCCTTATATTCTACTACCCTTCCATAGGGAAACTCTCATTTCCTTATTCTGTCAGGCTCTCTCTGCTACATTTGTGCTTTGTTACATGCTGTTTATTCTTGTAGAAAAGTCTCCTTTAGCACATAGATCATAGTAGATATTTAATACAAATTTTTGAATAAGTCAACTATTCATCTGTCAAGGACTTTGTTTGGAAAAATATGTAATAACTCAATGATCTCTTTTGTATATTTAGGATAGTTTTATGAAAATAAGGGCTTTCATTTCTTCTTCTACAAAAATATTTCCACATTTTAATTTATAAGAAAAAAATAAAACATATTCTCTGGTTATCTTTCTCTTATCTTTGTAAAAATGCAAACTCTTTTAGAGGAAAAAGTGTATTAATGTCTTTTGTAAAATACGACCTGTTTTATCTTGTAATTCTTGTTCATATATATTGGGTTTTCCACATTTTGTTGCATTAAAAACACTCTGGCAAACATACTATGTCTTTTTATCTTTAATTTTTTATTCATTTATTTAGCCAAAAAATAATTATTGAACACTTAATAAAATGCACTCCGTTAGCCAAAAGGGATTTGAAATGGATTGCATAGGTGTTTAAAGGGAGGAGCCAAAACAGTGGCAGGAAGTAAGCATGCGAAAGTACATAAAATGATGTCATTACAGTTGTACAAGGGCTACAGAAGAAAAGTTCAGGGTACAATGATATTATGAAACACTAAGAAAGGTGTCCCAATGTAAATGCTTTACAATTTAATTCTAAATGATGGCAAGGAGTCATCTAAGCTATAGGAACGGAACATACAATGCCCCCAGAAAGAAGTAGAAATAAGCTTAGACTGTTTGAAAATAAAGGGAAGACCAGGATGACTGGGATATAATGAGACATAGTAGAATGATTTGAAATTATGCTGCAGAGAAAAGTATGCTGCAGATTATTTAGATCCATGTAAGCCAAATTTACTATTTTAAGCTGGATTTTTAAAGCAATGGATCTAACAAACATATACAAAACACTCTACTCAACAGCAGAATACATAGTCTTCTTAAGCAAACATGACACATTTCCCAGTATAGATGACATGTTAAGCCATAAAAAAGTCTAAAATTTAAGAAGATTGAAATCATACCAAGTATCTTTTCCAACCATAATGAAATTAATCAAGAAATCAGCAACAAAGGAAAAAGTGGAAAATTCATAAATAAGTGAAAAGTAATGCAGTGTTGAATAACCATTGGATCAATGAATAAATAAAAAAGGAAATTAGAAAATAATTTGAAGCAAACAAAAATAACAACACAGCATAACAAAACATGGGATGCAGAAAAAGCAGTATGAAGAGTGAAGTTCATAGTGATAAAAGCCTACATTAAAAAAGTAGAAAGCACAATAGTGGGAAAATTGGAAAAAATTCAGTAAGGTTTGTAGCACTGTATTAATATTAATTTCTTGATTTTTGTACTGCAGTTATGTTTTTGGGAAAATATACACAGACTTATTCCAGAGCAAAAATGCATTGCATCTACAACATACTGTCAAATATTTCAGAAAAAAACAGACTAAAGTAAATGTGGCAAAATGTTAACATTTAAGGAATCCGAAGTTTATACAGGAATTCTTTGTACCATTTTTGTAACTCCTGTAATTCCAAAGTTATTTCAAAATTTAAAGGCTAGTCAATTCTCTAAAATAAATAAGAAATACCACAAATAACCTCACTTTATAATTCAAGGGCTGTAAAACAAGAACAAACTAAGCCCAAAGGTCGCAGAAGCAAGTAAATAACAAACATTTAAGCCAAAAGCAACAAAATATTTTCCAAACAAAGTAATGAAGCTGAGCTGATTTTTACATTTAATCTTAGCCAAAAGACCAAGAAGCAATAATAATTGGTTTTTAGGAATGATAAAATTGGCAAACCCTTAACTAGACTATCTAAATAAGAAAGATAGAATACTAAAATGAATAAAATCAGAAATAAATGAAAAGACATTACAATTGATGCCAAAGGAATAAAAAGGATTATAAGAGGTTATTATAAATAATTATATACCAACAAACTGTATAACCTAGAAAAATAGATACAACTTCCTAAGACAAAATCAAGAAGCAGCAGAAAGTTTGAACAGCCTAATAGCAACTAAGGAGATTTAAGCAGTAATCAAAACCTCCCAACAAATAGAAGTCCAGGACCAGATGGCATCACTGATGCATTACATCAATAATTAAAGAACAAATTTCAATCCTTCTCAAACTCTTCCAAAAATTGAAGAGGAAGTAATACTTCCAAACACATTCTATGAGGCCAGTATATCCTGATATCATAGGAAGACAAAGACTCCAGAAAAACATAAAACTGTAGATCAATATCCATAATTAATATTGATGCCGAAATTATCAAGAAAATACTAGCAAGACTGAATTCAGCAGCATATTAAAATGATTATACACCATGACTGAGTGGGATTTATTCCTGGTATGCAAGGATGGTTCAGTATATGAAAAATCAATTAATGTGATATGCCACATTAACATAAAGAATAAAAATTATATCATTGTCTCAACAGATGTAGAAATAGCATTTGAAAAAATATAGCAATCACCACGATACAAACACTCTAAAACCTTAGAATTAAAGAAACTTACCTCAGTGTAGTAATAAAGGCCATATACAAAAAGCCCACAGCTAACACCATACTTAATTGTGGAAAAAGTCAATTTTCCCTCTATGATTAGGCATGAGACAAAGATGCCCACTGTTGCCACTTGTATTCACCAAAGTACTGCAAGTCCTAGCCAAAGCAATTAGGCTAGAAGAAGAAATAAAAGACATCCAAATAAGAAATGAAGAAGTAAAATTGTTCTTGTTTGCTGACAATATAACTTCATATAAAGAAAGCTCTAAAGACAAAAAAAAAAAAAAAAGAAAAGAAAAGAAGTTTAGAACTAATAAAAATATTTGGTAAAATTTCATAATACAAATTCAAGATGCAAAATCAGTTGCAATTTTATAAACTAACCAACAATCTTAAAAGGAAATTAGGAAAACATTCCTAATGAAAATAGCATCAAAACAAAAAAAACTTAGAAAAAAAACTTGATTAAAGAGATGAAAGACTTAAGTAATAAAAACTACAAAACACTGATAAAACAAATTAAACAAGACACAAGGAAATGAAAAGACATGTTCATGAATTGTAAGACAGTATTATTAATATGTCCATACTACTCAAAACGATGTACAGATTCAATTTAATCCCTATCAGATTCCAATGATATTTTTCAAAAAACAGAAAAAACATTCAAAATCCACATGACCATAAATAGCCAAATCAACCTTGATATAGAAGAACAAAGCTGAAGGTGGCACACTTTTCTTTTTATTAAAAAAAATTATAAAACTAAAATAATCAAAACAGTATGATACTGGCATAAACACCGACATATAGATCATTGGAATAAAATAGAGCTCTTGGAAATAAATTTATGAATACAGTCAACTAATTTTCAATGAAGAGGCAAAGAATACGCATAAGGAAAGTGTAGTTACTTCAAGAAATAGCATTGGAAAAACTGGGTATCTAGATGCAAAGTAATGAAATTATACTTTTATCTTATATAATATGCAAAAACCAACTCAAAATGGATTAAATACTTAATCATAAGATATGAAACTATAAAACTAATAGATGAAAACAGAGGGGAAATCTTTCATGACATTGATCTTGGCAATGATTTCATAGCTGACACCAAAAACAAGCAACATAAACAAACATGGGACTACATCAAGCTAAAAATTGTCTACGTAGCAAAAGAAACAATCAACAGAGTAAAAAGATAAACCACAGAATGGAAGAAAATATTTGCTAGTCATGCATCTGATAAGGGGTTAATATACAAAATATATAGGGAACTCCTAAAACTCGGTAGCGAAAAATCATATAACCCAGTTTAAAAAAAAATGGGCTAAGAACTTGAATAGCTATCACTCCCAAGAAGACATACAAATGTGCATCAGGTATATAAAAAATGCACAAGGTCACTAATCTTCTGTTTGCATATCAAACTACCAGATATTAACTAAGACCTGTCAAGATGGGTATTAAAACACACGCACATACACACACACGCACACACACACAAGTGTTGGCAAGAATGTATAGAAACTGGAACCCTTGCACATTGTTAATGGGAATGCAAAATGATGCAGCTGCTACAGAAAACGGTATGGAAGTTCTTCAAAAAAGCAAACAGAGAACCATCATATAATCCAGCAATCTCACTTCTGGTTATTTATCCAAAAGAATGAGAATCAAGTTCTCCAAGAGATAATAGCATTCCTATGTTCATTGCATTATTGGCCAAAATAACCAAGATGTGGAAACAACCTAGATGTTCATTGATAGATGAAAAGGTAAAGAAAGGGGATCCCCTATTCAATAAATGGTGCTGGAAAAACTGGCTAGCCATATGCAGAAAACTGAAACTGGACCCCTTGCTTACACCTTAAACAGAAAAAACTCAAGGTGGATTAAAGACTTGAATGTAAAACCCAAAACCATAAAAACCCTAGAAGAAAACCTAGGCAATACTATTCAGGACACAGGCATGGGCAAAGACTTCATGACAAAAAAAAAAAAAAAAAGCAATTTCCACAAAAGCCAAAATTAATAAATGGGATCTAATTAAACTAAAGATCTTCTGCACAGCAAAATAAACTATCATCAGAGTAAACAGGCAACCTACAGAGTGGGAGAAAATTTTTGCAATCTGCTCATCTGACAAAGATCTAATATCCAGAATGTACCAGGAACTTAAACAAATTTACAAGAAATAAACAAACAACCCCATCAAAAAGTGGACAAAGGATATAAACAGACACTTCTCAAAAGATGACATTTATGTGGCCAACAAACATATAAAAAAAAAGCTCAACATCACTGAAATGCAAATCAAAACCACAATGAGATACCATCTCATGCCAGTCAGAATGGCAATTATTAAAAGGTCAAGAAACAATAGATACTGGCAAGTCTGTGGAGAAAAAGAATGCTTTTACACTGTTGGTGGGAATGTAAATTAGTTCAACCATTGTGGAAGACAGTATGGTGATTCCTCAAGGGCCTAGAACCAGAAGTACCATTTGACCCAGCAATCCCATTACAGGGTGTATACCCAAAGGAATATAAATCATTCTACTTTAAAGGCACATGCACATGTATGCTTATTGCAGCACTATTTACAATAGCAAAGACTTGGAACCAACCCAAATGCCCATCACTGATAGACTGGATAAAGAAAATATGGTACATATATACCATGGAATGCCATGCAGCCATAAAAAGGAACGAGATCATGTCCTTTGCAGGGATATGGATGAAGCTGGAAGCCATCATCCTCAGCAAACCAGCACAGGAACAGAAAACCAGACACCATATATTCTCACTCATAAGTGGGAGTTGAACAATGAGAACATGTGGACACAGGGAGGGGAACATCACACACCGTGGCCTGTTGCAGGGTGGGAGTTGAGGGAAGGAAACTTAGAGGACAGGTCCATAGGTGCGGCAAACCACCATGGTACATGTATTCCTATGTAACAAACCTGACTGTTCTGCACATGTATCCTGGAACTTAAAATAAAATTAAAATAATTAAAAAAAGAAAATATGGTAAAATTGAATACTATTCAGCATGAAAAAGAAAAAAAAACCATTTAAAATATGAACTTAAATGAACTTTTAGGACATTATATATGTGAAATAAGCCAGTCACATCAAGACAAATATTGCATAATTCTACTTATATAAGGCATCTAAAATGGTTAAATTTATAAAATCAGAGTGGGATAGTTGTTACCAGGGGCCTGAGATAGGGAGAAATGGGAAATTATTAATCAATGGTCTTAAAGTTTCAGTCAAGAAAGATTAATATGATTTGGAGATCTTTTGCACAATATTGGACCTATTTGTAGTAAAAAATAAAGTATTGTTCACTCAAAAACTTGCTAAGAGTGTAGATCTCATGTTAAGTGTTCTTACCACAATACGATAAAAATAAACTGGTTATATTAAAGATCAAAGAATTATTGAAGCTTAGAATATATTTTAAGATTAGAGTTAACAAAGATTTTAAGTACATAAAACTTGAGGTAAATACAATAGAATGAAAGGAGTTTTATGTTTTTCCTTTTCTATGAATTTTTTGTATCAAGAGAGGTATAGATAGCTGCAAATCATAGTGTATCTGGAAATAATAGCCATTGGAGTTGTAAAAATTACTCTAGCTTTAAGACTTGTCAAAACAATTTCATCATTTCAGAAAGGAATTCTAGCACATATGTCAGTATCAGCTGTGTGACAGTAAAGAATCCAGTTTCAGTGTAAGTGGGTTTAAATGGCTCTTGCTGCCCCCTTAGCTCTCCTTTTCTTAAGAGTGGTTGTTAGAGAATACCAACATATGGTGTATTTGGCAGTAAAACATCATTAGTGAAAAACACCCGCAACTGCAGAAATTTGGAAGAATTATAACAATTACAAAGAAACTTAGCGCTTGACAATATATGTGGTTTAAAGATGTTATTTTTCTGTTCTACAAGGGATATTATGCTGGTACTTCAGCAGCATTCATTTCCCTAGTTATATAGCAATAGCCTTCAATTTTTCTTTAGGAATTGATCCTAAATAAGCATAATACCATCCTGTGGCTGCAGTGATTGTTTCAGGCTTAAATCCATGACACATAAACATATGATCAGATTTGCTGGTACTTCTTGAAAAGTGTCTTTCTGCACTAGATTTCCAATTTTGACAATGTAGAATTGAAGTTTCTTTTGCCAGCTTTTTTCACAATACAAGGAGAATAGAGTCAACCTGAAAAATTGCAAATGGGAGATAGAAACTGGATCTGTGGATGTTATCAGAACCCTTGTATCCAGTCACATCCTCAACCTGGATCTGTCTGCTACCTGAGCTAAAGAAAATTTTCCTTTTTGCTTAAGCTTATTTGGTTGAGTTTGTTGGTGTATTACTCCATTTTCACACTGCTGATAAAGACATACCAGAGACTGGGTAATTTGTAAGGAAAAAGAGGTTTAATGGACTCACAGTTCCACGTGGCTGGGGAGACTTTACAATCAGGGAAGAAGGTGAAAGGCATGTCTCACATGGCAGCAGACAAGAGAAGAGAGCTTGTGCAGGGAAATTCCCCTTTATAAAACCATCAGATCTCATGAGACTCCCTATCACTAGAACAGCAAGGAAAAGCCCCACCCCTATGATTCAGTTACCTCCCACCAGTCCCTCCCACAACACATGGGAATTGTGAGAGCTACAATTCAAGATGAGATTTGGGTGGGGCACAGCCAAACCATATCAGTTGGTATTGCTATGGGTATAATTATATTTATTTATTTGTCATTATTGACTAAAAGAGTGAAAACTGATGAAGTACTCTCAAGGTAGATTATCTCTAAGAAGAGTATCTTATATTCAATAAAAGAAAATCCAAACTATCAATGAAAATATATTTAAATTGTCAATCCAATAAATATTTTGGAACCCTTTTTTTTTTATAAAGGGAGTGGGCTTGGAGAGAGTCGTACACAGACCTGGCCCTTCATGAAGGCTTTATTTATCTGGAAAAGGAAATTGAATAGGTAATTGCAATGCTAGGCATTCATGTCAGAGATCGTAGCTTCCATGAGAGCAAATACGTAACACAATTATGGCTGTTGACATTGAAGACACCCTGGGGAACCAATGTACTAGTTCTGTTTCTGGGTGAAGAAATCAACTCTTGAATTGGGTACTACCTGAGAGCTTGTTGCATCATTTCAGCATACGGGACACTAGCTCCCTGACTCTTCCAATGGTACCATTTTCTTCTGCCAGAGAATCTCAGATTCCCAAGGCTGCCCCATTCCCCATGACATGTGCTATACTTAGTACCCTGTTCAAAGCTACAACCTATAGTCTGAGGTTGTGGAGGTTGCTTTCTCATATAATCACAGACAATCTTTTCCCTTGGGACTACACTGCATCCTAGACCTCCTCCTTTTTAATTTTTAGAGATTTTTTTTCAAGACTCTCTTCTCCATTCCACAGCATTTGATCTATCTCCCCTTTCCCTGGGTATGAGTGTTGCAGCCCTACACAAGGCTGCTAAGGTGCTGAGGCCTATATGGGGAGCACTTACAATTTAAAAGTCTTAAAATAAAGGTGATATTTTAAGCAGTAAATGATAAATCTAATACTTTAAAAATTAAATTCAGACTGAAAGAGAATCAAAACCAACTGTTTGGAAATATTCCCCATAGTTATGGAATTTTGTTCTTGTAAATGTATGTATTTTCTGTTAAACCCTCATATATGTACATGTTACAAAAAAAGGATAAGAAAAGGGAAACAAATACACAGAAAATATAATTTCTGCTTAATAAGTATTTCTAAAAGTTCATTGGATTCTAAAAGCAATCATTGTTTAATATCATAGGAAACTGGCATTTATTAAGTGAGGCCCACTCCCAATTACATAAATGGAGAACAGATATCATGAGTTTAGGTATCATGTACACACACAGACACACACACACACACACAAACGTATCTTGTTGGGCTTATTGTTGACATTAAAGTTAATAAAAGAGAAACTGTAATTGGAGTCAGATCTTTAAATACTTCTATCATACAAAGCATTTAAAAATAAACATTACAAACACATTTGTTCTCACTAAACATATTATTACTTGAATAAGTGGTGTGATATAATTACTTACACAAATATATTCATTATATTAATAGTGATATCAAAGCATGTATAATGTTAATATATAAAACAATATTTTAAAGACAATTTCATCTTACTATGTATTTTACTGCATTTTGGCATATGGCAAATGCTTTACAGAGTATTTATGTTATGAGATGTAAATGTATACATTTTCTTCACAAATACATATATATGTATTTTTGTTACCATTTAAAAATATCTTGCTCTTCAGTGTGTGATAAAAAGTAAAAGATTGTAATCACTGTGTTGAATTATACACTGCCCGAAGATAAAAGTTCTCTCTACTTAGTTTTATCCCCAGAGTTTAGCAAGTGCCTGGCACGGGAGCCAGTAATAAATATTTGGTAAATGAATGAAAAACTAGATGAAACCATTATTTCTATGTAACCTTGTTTCCAAGAAAATATTACTATTAGAAATCAAGGTTGTTTAGACAATATTTTGATGCTTAGCATTTTGTATTATGTTTTTGTTTGTTTTCATGTCTGTATTTCCATCTAGGTGATTATCTTCTGTCACTTTTTAGACATTAAAAATTGTTTGAAAAATGAATAAATGAACAAAAAATAGGTGCTAGTAAACTTATACTCACCTTTCCTATAGGACAGACAGAACATCCTTTTATAATAAGCACCTTTTTTGCCTACTGCAAAATGCCAGAGCTGTGATTTGTCTGTTGCATTTCAGTCACACACAGCTGTTAGAGTTCCTGAATATTTTTAAAACCAGTGATGTGAAGGTTTGGATTTGGAAAGCTTAGCAGTTTTAAGGAATTTCATCACCTTATTTTGTTGAAGGGAAAAAGGGAATTTTGATCTAGTAAAAAAAATCTTTTATGATGTATGTTTAATGGTAGTCCTCCAGAATTTCAATCAGGGGCGACTGGGAGTAAATGTAACAAATTCTTCTGAAATCCAGGGGACAAACAACGAGGCTGAGGTACTTGAATGCATTTGTTAATGGAGAATACTTGACTAAGATGTATGGCACACTTTTTATTTATTTTCAGTGGCTCAAAGGCAAATGCACAATTCAAGGCTAGTTTTTAATGTGAAACATTAAATTAAAAGCTTCCCTTAGGGACTTTAAATGCATGTCTAAGAGAATAGTAACTCTTAGATCTTTTATGATGATTTTGCTTGCTTTTAAATCGTTTCAGATGGGTTGGAGATTTTGGATGGCATTTTCTCATCATCAAACCACTTGGACAGATATTAGTAACAGGGATTGTGTTAATAGATTTAACACAAAGTCACAAATTCTTCGCTATGAGAAATTAACAATATAAATCATTTTAACATAATGTATCTACTTTAGGATTTTTTATATCGGATGTAGCAAGGAATAGATTATTCAATATACTTCCCAAGGGATTTCATATTTAACATCTGCATGCTGTAGGTGGTAGGGGATATTTAGTTTCTCTTCTCTAGTATGGAAGAAATATTTTCCCCCATAGACATTTCTATCCTCTTGTTCCACTTGTTTTTCCTCTCTGTGGACATAGGGAGTCACTCTGTTGGTAGGTACAGTCACCGGTTCACCTTTCTGTATTTGGTAGAGAAAATCAATCTCAAATCCCCAAGGCAAGGAATTTGGTTGACAGTTATACTATTCCCTCTACCACACCCCTAGCCCTGACAACGGGGAGACAGAGACTCTTTTTTTTTTCCTTTACATTTCAAGCATTTCAAAGTTCCTATTAAGTTTGTGTGTGTGTGTGTATGTGTGTGTGTTGGAGTGTTTTGGTGATAAAAGTTGAATAAATATTGAAATGCCCAGTGCTGACTGTACTTATAAGCTGTCTTGTACTCCAGCCTTTATTGAAAATAAAACTAATATGTAGTGATCCATTTTAATGTATTCGTTATCTAACCTAATGGTGTCTATTTCAAGAGGAACACAAGAGAATGTCATTTATTGGCTACATCAAACCCCATCTGGTCTTCTTAATGTTACCCACACAAATTCTGTTCTACAGCTAAATCAAATTACTTGCACTGTCCAGATATTCCAAACTCACAAAAACTTGTTATTTTGCATAGATTGGCATCACACTCTCCTTTTTGTTGACTGGAAAATGACTATTTGTCTTCTGGGACTTTAAACATGTTTGCCCTAGGACAGATCTAGTGACCCAGTTTTTTCTTGAAGCAGGATGTCATACAACCCTGAACCCTAATTCCTGTAAGAAAAGGTTCTGTAAACTACTTCCAAAAGGCCAAATTTGACTCACTTCATGTTTTTGTAAATAAAGTTGTATTGGAACATAACCATGACCGTTCACATATGCATTATGTATGCCAACATTCATAGCACAATAGCAGAGTTGAATAGTTGTAACGGATATCATGTGGTGCACAAAGTCTATAATATTTACTATCTAGCCAAAATACAAAAAATGTTTTGTAAACCCAACTCAAGTCTACGATTGCCTGATATCAAATCCCAGGTATTCCCTTTATATAGAGTCATTGTTTTCTAATTTATTGCAAGCTCTGGGTAAACAATAATTTTTATAATTTTTACACCTGCCACCATTGAATCACACACACACACACACACACACACACACACACACACACACACAGAGTTTCTGGGAGGGTAGCCATAAGAATAAATCTGTAGGAAGAAACAGTTTTGTCAATATAGTCAAGGGGTCATAAGCCTGGTGATAGAATAAAAATAAGGGCCAAAATCTAAGGAAATAGCAGAATTGAAAGAATAAGAATAAACACTAATGCTGGGCTATTAGCATAATGAGATCTGGTATATCAGTATGATGAGACTGGGTTCAGCTGTTAATTCCAAGAGTAGATTCAAGAGTGTATTTACACATATTATGGGAGAGGATTGGTAGTTTATAGGAACAATGGGAGACAATAGAATCTCACTATTTATTTGTTTATTCCTTATAGACATATTCCTGATGTTTTATGCTGCCTGCTAAAGATTCATTAGATATCTTAAGGGACTAGGCCTATTAGCCTCCAACAACAATAAATAGGTCTAATAGTTGTTGACACTCCTTCTCTTTGTTAAACCTCTTTTCGTAACATTGTTGAAGAAGGATTAAAAGTGGAGTGCATCCAGTTGTCTCAGGGAAAGACTATTGTGAGTCTCTCTGAGGGAAGGAGCTCAATGAAGCTTTATATTTCCAATAAGTTATCTGTATCCTTCCTGCCAGAAGAAACCCCGACATACAGGCAGTATACCAGTGCTGCAAGTTTTCTTCAGGCACGGAAGTACAAGGGGGTGGCTGAGCATTCTTTTGGAATAAATTCAACATTATGGTTCCTACAAACTTGACCATAAGTAAGAAACATAGAAAGCAGTTGATGCTGTAAAATTGAGGAAGAATTTGCTGAGCAATGGCTGTAGATACTGCTTATGCAACTGGCATCTGCTCGAAAAATTGGATGAAGATAAAAGCTACAGAAAATTGCAGAGTCTGAAGTTTATGATGGTGAGGAATCGAATGCATTGCCAACATCAGAGTCCCACTCCCAGGAGATTAAAAAGATCTAGAAAAGCTTCACCCCTTTGAAATCACAAATGGCTGAGACAATGATGAAAATATAAAGATGGTCAAGCTGTGTTTTCTTACCTTTAGAAAGTGTGGTGTAGACCATTCTAATATCAAAACAAATTTGATAATTTATGCCAGATGGAGCTGTCGCCTAGAATACAATTTCAAGCATTTACCCACAGATTGTGAGCCCTAGAACAAATGATTTAATATCTCTAATCCTCAATGTTCTTACCATTAAAATAAATATAAGCCTAGGATTACCATGAAGGTTAGATGAGATAATGCCTAATAAGTAGGTGACAGGTAATTAGTTTTAGCAAATATTTGTTTCTTTCTTCATCTTATTATTTAGAGCTGAAATATCTTTTTGGAATCTTGAGCTGATTGATCAAATAATATACACACTCTACCAATTAGTAATTACTACTCTTTATAACAGGCTATAAGATTTTAAATGCACTGCACCATTGTATAAGGCCCTTAGATAACTTCTCGATATTTGAAGAGATAATCTTGTAGAATTTTCTGATTTAGAATATTATCTACATTGTGCTTGAATTTAATTGACAGGCAGACTAAATATATCAGTCCTTTTTGGTCACATTCATTTTATATTGGAAATTGAACACAATTTCATGAATTCAGAAGTTACCTATGAATTTAGCCCTTTGGAATGTTTTTTTTTTTTTTCAACTTGGAAGCTTATATACTTTTTTCTTTAAAACAAAGATTATAAAAGTAATTTGTGTGATTTGAAGTTACTAATTTCACTCAAATAAACTGATTAATTAGAGAGTCCTGTTGACATTTTAATTATCTTTTTAAAAAATTCAATTTTTTTATGCAGCCAAAAAACACATGAAAAAATGCTCACCATCACTGGCCATCAGAGAAATGCAAATCAAAACCACAATGAGATACCATCTCACACCAGTTAGAATGGCAATCATTAAAAAGTCAGGAAACAACAGGTGCTGGAGAGGATGTGGAGAAATAGGAACACTTTTACACTGTTGGTGGGACTATAAACTAGTTCAACCATTGTGGAAGTCAGTGTGGCGATTCCTCAGGGATCTAGAACTAGAAATACCATTTGACCCAGCCATCCCATTACTGGGTATATACCCAAAGGACTATAAATCATGCTGCTATAAAGACACATGCACACGTATGTTTATTGTGGCACTATTCACAACAGCAAAGACTTGGAACCAACCCAAATGTCCAAAAATGATAGACTGGATTAAGAAAATGTGGCACATATACACCATGGAATACTATGCAACCATAAAAAATGATGAGTTCATGTCCTTTGTAGGGACATGGATGAAATTGGAAATCATCATTCTCAGTAAACTATCGCAAGAACAAAAAACCAAACACCACATATTCTCACTCATAGGTGGGAACTGAACAATGAGAACACATGGACACAGGAAGGGGAACATCACACTCTGGGGCCTGTTGTGGGGTGGGGGGAGGGGGGAGGGATAGCTTTAGGAGATATACCTAATGCTAAATGACGAGTTAATGGGTGCAGCACAGCAGCATGGCACATGTATACATATGTAACTAACCTGCACATTGTGCACATGTACCCTAAAACTTAAAAGTATAATAATAATAAAATAAAATAAACAAAAAACAAACAAACAAACAAAAGAAATATACATACACACACACACATACACACACAAAATTCAATTTTAAGGTTTTCTAAAGTTAGATTTGTTTGTAACCTCTTCAATTCCCCACCAGTCTTCTGGATGAGGAGACTGAAGCCTGAGATTTGAAATGGATTCACATTGAATAATGCTGTAGCTAAGAATGCCACAGGTCTTCTCAGTACTAGGTAAATGATGTTTTCCATTCAAGCATGCTACCACTTCCTTTGCTTCCCTGCAAACTTTGGCAAACATTATTATTTTATTATTTTTATCATTATTTTTATTATTATTACTTGAATGCACAGATGATTTCAAGGCAAAAGTAGTTTCTGTACCAGTTGTTCCGTTGGAATCCTCCAAGTGGCTATCACCTTGCTCTTATGGGAATATATATATATGTATTTTTAAGTACAGTTGTATGTTATCGTGTGTGTGTATTATCTCATGCAACTCTATCCCTTACAAGAAGTTGTATTTGTAGGGTGGCAAAGCACCCCCAGGAACGTTTGTTTATAGTCTAGAGAAGAATTTGACAGCTGCAAATTGCATTTAGAAGAGTTAATGGCAATATCCCACTAATATTTTTGTCACTTATAAACAAGTTTGGAATGCTGGTCCAAGTGTATCTCAATTTAAAGAATTTCAATAATTAGAAAATAAGTTACTTAAAAGAATTAGCAATTATAATGAAGAGAAAACACCCACTGTAGTATGAATTTTAATTATTTATAAAGCAGAAATTCAGTTTACTAACTCATTTACATAAAATTTTAGTTCAACAAGAGAGTTCAGAGTATTTTTAGTTGTTTTAGTTTTTAATATATCTCATAGGAAAAATAGGACGTACAATATAATCTCCATGGAAAAGGAATTTATGATTCAAATAAACTGATTAATTTATCTAAAAGATGCAGTGAAGTGTGTGTGTGTGTGTTTGTGTGTGTCTGTGTGTGTGTGTATGTGAAGAGGAAATGTCAGAGATCAATCTAATCTCTTCTCTAGGTTTAGTGTCCTTTCCCATTTCCTATTCTTTCTGATCTCTTTGGCACTGGGGTACAGTGCAGAGAAGGTAGGAAACTTTATTTATCACACCACAGACATAGTCAACAACACAAGCAGCAGTTTCATTACCCCTTTTACATATAATTCAAAAAGAAATTTGTTGTCAAAGTTTAAATTAAGCATAATTGATTCTGCTGGAAGACCTTTTGTGTCAAAACAGAGAAAAGATGTAATAGCAGAAGTTTGGACATTAATCCTCCGACTACAGAGAAATTTTCAATGAAAGAAGAATTAAAGCAGAATTAGGATTGTTTTTGAGTTGAAACTTGTGAGAAAACTTAAGATGTGAAAAATTGCTTGCATGGAAGTAGAAAATCCAAACATTGCTTAGGGAGTAGAAAACCGTACTGATAAAATGGCTCTTTAGCAGAATTGACAGGTCTGAAAAGTGTGACTGCAGGAATGACAAATTGTTTGTAACTTGACACAGGAAACTGGGAACCAGAGTAGTATTTTGGCAAAAAAGCACCCAGAAGATTAGTCATCCCTAGAAGAGCACCCTCTCAAGTAGGCAATGTGAGAAACACACGTGGTCTCTGAATCAGACAGATCAAGGTTTTTCTCATCCTTTTGATGGAGGAAGGATGGTCTGTACAGGAGCTGATGGATGTCTTTGATAAGAAGACAGACCAAAAAAAGAAAATTCTTTGGTCAAGTCTAGCAATGTGAAGGTCTTCTAGTTTAGGAAAGGATGGATTACTACAAAGAACATGTGATGACTTGTGCTGAGTTCTTCTCTTCCTTTCTTTTCTCAGCCTTTCTATTACCTTCACTTCCTTTTTATTTTTTTAATCTCTGTTTTTTTTTCTCTTTTCTATACATATTCATGGAACACTCACTGTAATATAGGTGTTATTCTAGACAGTAGGGACACAGAGATGAACAAAGTATGATTTCACTGTACTTAAGGTGTTCTTCTCTAGTAGTGAAATATATTGTAGCACAGTCTCTTGAACACCCGTGTTTCCTGGGAGTCACCTCTCTAAGCACCACGTCAGCAGAACATACCAACCTTCTCCCACTTCTTCTTTAGGTAGCTAAATCCAATGGCTTTATCACATTTTATCTATAAAGCTTCATCATCCATGGCAGTCTTCATCTTCATGTAGGTTACTGGCTCAAGGATGGCAATTTCAGAAGGGGTACCATAGAGAACGTTGTCAGGGTCCTTACAGAAAGACCACATGGCTCCACTGGGGCATGTTTCATAGCTTTAGACATCGCACTAAACTTTACTTAAGTAATGGGGAGGGTGAGTCAAAGCATTTTTTCACTAGCCAAGGGCAAAAAACAATTCCTGGAAATCCTGAGAATCAGAGCTTAAGAGAGCAAACAATATCTGTTAGATTACTAAATACAAACTATTCATTTTAGAGTGTAAAGACTCTGGGACTAGATATGAAGGGGACCCCATATTAGGATCACTATGATCATTAATAGTGAAGCCAAGGTTTTTATTTCCCCCCAAGAGGTGGATTAGAGGCATTGTTAGCCTGTCTTTTCTACTTGGAAAGACAAAATAGTGTGTAGAGATTCGCATTGTGAACTTTTAACCAAAAAGCAACACAGGACCTCAAAGGAAAAACTGAAAGAAAACACAGAGACTTTGAAAGAAGTGGTGGGCAGCAGCCTACACCGTCAGCGAGGCGGAAAGCCGTGTCTCGAGAGCATGAAACGGGGAGAGACTGTCTCCATCATGTACAGTCCCACTAGGGAGCTGGGTAATCCAGGCCACGTGACAGCACCTTGCCCCTGCACTGTGCTGGTGCTGACTTAATCAGCTGTGGTAAGTATATGAGAAGAAGTAGAATAGGGGCACGCTTTACATGCACTCCCAGACCCCAGCAGGGAGGGAAGCCATTCCTGATACTAACTCACAGTGAAATGGGAAGTTCCCTCATCCCTGTCACAGGGTGCGCAATGGAAGTGTGGCTAGCTTCTTCAGTGACCCGTTACTCAAACCTCTTGTGGAGCATACAGAAGGGCAGGCTGTGGGGCTCTGACCCCACAGCCGTGTCTAGGGGTGAATGTTTACAGCTGAAGCCCCAGTGGGGGTGTTACAGGGTGCTCTTTTAGTTTAGCCATCCACGGGGACTTGGGACTTGTGTTAGCTCAATTAAACCTCTGCCTTATCACAAGGACAGAGAGCTTTCTGTACCCCCAGGTTCTTGCCTTGGTGTACCAGAAGGACCAGATCACACATGGGCTTGGAGGATGAGTACAAGGTTTTATCGAGTGGAAGTAGCTCTCAGCAGATGGGGGAGCCAGAAGGGAGATGGTTTTCCCCTGGAGTGTGGCGGCTCAACAGCCTGGGCTCTGCTCCAACTGCCCCAGCCAAACTCCACGTCATTCTGCCAGTCCACTGCCTGCCAGTGTGCTGGCATCTGTCAGTATGCTCTTCCATTGGCGTGCTCCCTCAACGTCCAGCCACTAAGGTCTTGAGGTTTTTATAGGCACAGGATGGGGACGTGGCAGGCCAAGGTGGTCTTGGGAAATGCAACATTTTGGTCCGAAGGCAGGGGTGCCTGTCCTCACCTAGGTCCATGGCCACAGGCCCAGGATGGAACCCTGACCAGGGACCACTCCCTTCCCTTCCCAGAACTTCCCTTCCCCCTTTCCGTCTCAATAGGAGAACTCCTGGAAGTCTGCCGGATAACTTAGGTGGTGGTCACAAACTGAGAGAAGCTCCCAACTGAGATTTATGATATAAACTTGAGTGGTGACTAACCCCTTGTCCAAAACTAAGGGATGAGCAAAAAGTGTGCTGTAGCCACGCAGGAGCTGGGTGCCCCTGCTTTGCTAGTAAATCAGGAGGGGTGTGGCCTGAAAGCTGGCAGTTTTTGTCTCAGTGGAGAAGCCTTGTGGCCTTGGGCAGTTTTGCATTCTGAGCACAGGCTGCCTGGAACCCAGCTAGTTGTTGCTAGTAGAATACCTCAGGTGTGAGACCTGCCTTATTAAATACGTGGGAGCTGAGTGGGGCAGCTGCTTGGTACCCTCTCTTTCCCAGTGCAGAGAATTTTGTGCTGTGCTTCTCCTTGGAATATTACCCCAGCAGCCAAGGAACTGCCCTCTGATCCCCACTGAAACCACTGCTTGCATCCATACATGGGGAGCCAGGACACACCTTGCCTAACCCAGCCCCCACCCAACTTTGCCCCTCCACCTGTCCTAGTAATGTTATACAATAGAGAGAGATGCTTGAAAGCTCCAAAGCCCCACCTCTTGCCTAAGACACCAGAGTACCTCCCCTAAGTAACATAAGGCAAGCACAAATCCCACTGCTACCACTCCAGCTGGCACCCTTTTGCAAGAATCACCTCCTGGCTGAAGGCCAATCACCACAGCCCATTGCAGCATTGCAGGCATGATAACACAGAGCTTAGGTTGAAGAAAATTTCTGTGCAACCTCAGTTACTACAATTGCCTACATCACCCTGGCTAACCAGGAAGTCTTGAGCCTGTCTATGTGCCCAGTATATTACGACTACAGCTGGCACTTGAGAAAGCCAATACGCTAAGGCTATATAAAACCAATAAAATCTTTCAGAGTCTACACCACTCACCTGCCACCCCCCAGCAAAGCTGATGCTGGTACTCACTGCTGGGGGACTACAGGACATGTCAGCTCGGTCCAGCTCCACCCAACATTGACTCTTCTGCAGCTAAGAGTGGAGCCCAAGCCACAGCACATCCTGCAGACCTATTCACAGCCTGAGGCATTAGAGAGCTTCTCTAGTTGGCTGGCAAGAGACAAAGATGACCAATTCTCCTTAGAAAGAAAAACCAAAATTAATGGTGTATAATCATAGCCCAAATGGAATGTTACCAGGAGAGTGCTAGATTCTATCGGAGAGTTCACTGGAAGAAGTTACAGTACGTACACATACGCACAAAAGAAAGTAACATGGGCCGGGCGCGGTGGCTCACGCCTGTAATCCCAGCACTTTGGGAGGCAGAGGCGGGTGGATCATGAGGTCAGGAGATCGAGACCATCCTGGCTAACAAGGTGAAACCCCGTCTCTACTAAAAATACAAAAAATTAGCCGGCCGCGGTGGCGGGCGCCTGTAGTCCCAGCTACTCGGGAGGCTGAGGCAGGAGAATGGCGTGAACCCGGGAAGCGGAGCTTGCAGTGAGCCGAGATTGCGCCACTGCAGTCCGCAGTCCGGCCTGGGCGACAGAGCGAGACTCCGTCTCAAAAAAAAAAAAAAAAAAAAAAAAAAGAAAGTAACATGAAGCTGGCAGAGATCAAACTCTGAGAGATGTAGTATTCCATGGAAAGGGTGGGTGGGAGTGCTCTCAGACTCTCTAGCCCCTGTGGCAGACTGCTGGTTTCCAAGCTCAAGGAGGGTTTCTTGCATGCACAAGCACAAATGCTGGAGTAGGCTATGATCTGGGGCCTCCTTGAGGGCATTACCTGGCTCACACAATGTTCTTGTCTTTCCCCCCAGAACTGAGCTGTAGTAGCAGGCCCTATACTGGGTGTGCACTCATTGTGAAACTTTGTTCTGCTCAGGGTCCTTCAACTCTTGTATCTTCACATCACTGGATTCCTTGCAGACATTCTCCAGCACCAATCTGGAGTATGGCAGCCCCATAGGGCAGCTATACACAGAAGGGCAGCAGGATTCACAGTAGTCCGGACCTCAGGGACTGCTACTCATAGGGGAAGTTGGAGTGCAATACATCAAGGGAGAACCCTATGGGATGAAAGAAACCACACTTAAGGCCTTGAGTCCCAGAACATTCTGCTTATGGGAAGTTTCTTTCAGCAGAGGCACAGGTGCAGTGCTGGACTCAGTGGAGAAAGACTGTAGTTCTATCCCAACAGTCAGGCAGCCCTTGCAGTTGTGAAGGGTCTTGAAAAGGGGGAATTCTTCTTTCCATCACCCATCACTGCAGATACAGCTGGGGCTTCGGCCCCAAAAGCTTGGCATGAGTGCATCTGTAGATGAACTTTCTGGAAAACTTCAGGGTGACTGCATTCCTGCAGGAGCAATGCCTTCCAGTTTCAGGCTTGACTGAATGGTAGAGTCACAGTCCATCTCAAAATGGAACATCACTATTCCTGAAGATGAACATGGTTGCCTATTTGATCTGAATAGCTATAACACTGGGTCAGGAGTGTGACAGGGAGGTAGATCTCTTCCTCTTGTCCTGGAAGGGGAGCTGAGGTGGCTCCCTTCCCTTCTCCCTGAAAGACCTCAGTGCACTTCAATGAGAGCTTTGTCAGCTTCTGCTGTCAAAGCTGGGACTTCTTCCCATCACTGGGATATTGTATTTACCCTGCTATAGCCATAGTCTATTTTTACCTGTGGACACCTCCTAAAGGCCTGAAGCCTGAACTGTTCAATCCAATGAATAAAATATTGGGGAAAAGAAATTTTAAAAGTGCACACTACTGGGGAGCAATATAAGCTTCATGAGACCTCTGCCATTCTGGCCCCACAGGAGACAGTGAACATACTCAAACACCCAGAACATTGCTGCTACAACCAGTATCTGAGAAAGCAACTGCACAAAGATTCTCTATAACCAAGGAACTCACATAGAGTATTTGCCACTGAATGCACTCAGAGTCAAAGATAGGAGATAAATTTTAAAAATTAGTGTCACATCATCAAAAGGAAAAATAATTTTAAAAAACCCCAGTGTAGTCAAAAATAAATTTAAAAAAATCTTTCCAAATGAGAAGGAACCAGAAAAATAATTCTAGCAATATGAAAACATGGGATTATATAACTCCCCCTAAAAAAATTACATTAACTCTCCAGCAATGGATATGAACCAAAATGAAATCTTTAAAATACGAGATAAAGAAATGAAAAGAATAATTATTAGGTTATTCAATGAGGTACAAGAGAAAGTTGAAAACCAGCATAAAGAAATTAACAAAACAATTCATAATATAAAAGAAAACGTTTCTAAAGAGACATATATTTTAATGAAAAATCAATCAGAAGTTCTGGAAGTAAAAGACATATTTAGGAAACTACAAAATACAGTGGAAAGTTTCAACATTAGACTAGACCAAGTAGAAGAAAGAATTTCAGAGCTTGCAGATAAGTCTTTTGTATTTACCTTGATCGACAAAAATAAAGAAAAAAGGAAATAAAAGAAATGAATAAAGTCTCTAAGAAATATGGGATTATGTAAGATATCCAAACCTAAGAATCATAGGTGTGCCTGACAGAGAAGAAAAAGCGAAAAGTTTGGAAAATCTGTTTCCAGAAATAATTCAGGAAAACTTCCTTGGCCATGCTAGAGGTTTAGACATCTAAAAACAAGAAGCTCAAATAACTACTAGGAGATTAATCATAAAAAGAACATCACCAAGGTGTATAGTCATCAGGCTATCTAAAGTCAACATTGAAGAAAGAATTTTAATTGCAATGAGACAAAAATATCAGGTAACATATAAAGGAAAACTTATAAGACTAACAGCAGACTTCTCAGCAGGAACTTTACAAGCCAGAAGTGTTTGGGGTCCTATATTTAGTCTCCTTAAACAGAATAACTATCAGTAAAGGAGTTTGTATTCAGCAAAACTAAGTTTCATAAATGAAGGAAAAATAAAGTCTTTCCTAGACAAGCAAAAGCTGAGGGAATGTGTCACCACTGGACTAGCCCTACAAGAAATGTTAAAAGAAGTTCTAAATGTTGAAACATAAGGTCACTACACACCAGTATAGAAACTCTTCAAATCATAAAACAGTAAAACAATGAAGAAAAAAAAGCGAGTAGGCAACAATCAACACTATGACTAGAATGGTACCTCATATCTCAATATTAAAGTCAAATGTAAATAGTTTCAATGCTACATTAAAAGATAACAAATTGGCAGGGTGGATAAAAAAGGTCACAAACTGTATATCTACTGTCTTCAAGAGACCCACCTAACATATAAAGATTCTTATAGGTTTAAGGGAAAGTACTGGAAAAAGACATTCCACACAAATGGAAACCACAAGTGAGCAGAAGTAGCTATTCTCATATCAGATAAAACAGACTTTAAAACAATAATTGTAAAAAAAGACAAAAAGTTATTACATAATAATAAAAGTATCAATTCAACAAAACATAACAATCCTGAATATGTATGCACCTAACTGTGCAGCTCCCAAAGTCATAAAAAAATTATAACTAGATAAATAGTAGTAGTGATTTCTTTTCTCTTAAGAAAATAATAAACAGCAATAAAATAATAAATAAGCAACACAGTAATAGTGTGGGACTTTAACACTCCACCGTCAGCATGAGACAGATGACTGAGGCAGAAAGTCAACAAAGAAACACCGTATTTAAACTGAATTCAATAACAAATGGACCTAACAGATATTTACAGAACATTTTACCTGAAAAGTGCACAATATACATTCTCTTCATCAGCGCATGGAACATCTTCCAAGACAGACCATATGATAGGCCACAGGAAAAGTTTCAATAATGTTTAAAAATCCAAAGTATATCAAGTATCTTCTTTCACCACAGTGGAATAAATGTAGAAATCAATTCCAAAAATTACACTCAAACTCATACAAAAACACAGAAATTAAACAGGCTGCTTATGAATGATTTTGGGCTTAGCAATGAAATCAAGACGAAAATGTTAAAAAAAATTTTGAAATTACTGATAACATTGAAAGAAATATGAAAACTTCTGCGATGCAGCCAAATTAGTGCTAGGAGGAAAGTTTATAGCACTAAATACCAGCATTAAAAAGTCAGAAAGATCACAAATTGACAACCTAACAGCACACCTCAAGGAACTAGAGAAACAAGGACAACCAAGCCCAAAGTTAGCAGAAGGAAAGAAATAACAAAGATAAGAGCAGAACTAATCAAAATTGAAACAATATAAAAGATTAATAAAATGAAAAGTTGGTGTTTTGAAAAAATAAACAAAATAGATAGATCACTAGCTGTATTAACCAAGAAGAGAGAAAATTCACGTAAGTCCAATTAAAAAAGAAAATGGAGACATTACAACTGATACCAGAGAAATACAAAAGATCATTTGAGACTACTATGAGCTCCTCTATGCACATAACCTAGAAAATCTAGAGGAAATGAAAAAAATCCTGGAAACCTACAACTTCTCTTGCTTGACTCAGAAAGAAATAGAAATCCTGAACAGACTAATAACTAGCAATGTGAGTGAATCAATAATATAAAATCTGCAAAAAAATCCCAAGATCAGACTGATTCATAACTAAATTCTACCAGACATTCAAAGAATTTGTACCAATCCTACTGAAACTATTGTAAAAGATCAAGAAGAAGGGGAATCCTCCTCCAACTCATTCTACAAAACTAGTATCACTCTGGTACCAAAGCCAGGAAAATATGTAACAAGGAAAGAAAACTATAGATTAATAGTCCCAATGGACATACATGCAAATATTTTAAACAAAATACTAGCAAACAGAATCCAACAGCATATAAAAAAAATTCACCATGATCAAGTGAGTTTCATCCCAGGAATGGAGGTTTGGCTCAACATACACCAGCCAATAAATGTGATTCATCACATAAACAGTATTAAAAACAAGAAACATAAGATTATCTCAATCGATGCAGAAAAAACACTCAATGAAATTCAGCATCTCTTTATGATAAAAATGTTCAACAAACTATGCACAGAAAGAACATACCTCAGAATAATAAAAGCCATATATGATAAACCAATGGACATCACACTGAATGGGGAAAATCTGAAAGCATTTTCCCTAAGAACTGAAAAAAGACAAGGATGACCACTTTCACCACTTCTGTCCTAGCCAGAACCATCAGCAAGAGAAAAAAAAACAGAAAAATAACAGAAAATGACCATACTGACCAAAGCAATCTACAGATTCAAGGATATTTCTATCAAAATATCAATGTAATTTTTTATAAAATGAGAAAAAAAAATCCTAAAATTCATATGGAACCAAAAAAGAGCCCTAATAGCCAAAACTGGAAAATCCAAATTGGAAAATACAAACTCAAACTATGTCTGTCGGTGATATGATTGTATACCCAGAAAACCTTACAGCCTACTCCAAAAGACTACTAGATTTGATAAATGAATTCAGCAAAGCCTCGGTTTACAAAATAAATGTGCACAGCTCAGTGGCACTGGTACAGACCAACAATGACCAATCTGAGAATCAAATCAAGAACTCAATTCCTTTTACATAACTTACAAAAAATAAATTCATATGAGGATTCTTAACCAAGGAGGCAAAAGATCTCTACAAGGAGAACTAGAAAACACTAAAGAAAGAAATGATAGATGACACAAATGGAAATACATCTCATATTCATGCATTGGAAAAACCAATATCATGAAAATGACCGTAATGACCAAAGCAATCTACAGATTCAAGGCTATTTCTATCAAAATATCCATGTAAGTTTTTATAAAATTAGAAAGAAAATCCTAAAATTCATACGGAACCAAAAAAGAGCCCTAATAGCCAAAGCGATCCTAATCAAAAAGAACAAATCTGGAGGCATCACATTACCTGACTTCAAATTACGCTACAAGGCTGCAGTAACCAAAAAAGCATGACACTTTTATAAAACAAGATATAGAGACCAATGGTTCAGAATAGAGAACCCAGCAATGAAACCAAATACCTACAAACACCTGATCTTTGACAAAGCACACCAAAACATAAACTGGGGAAAAGATACCATTTTCAATAAATGGTCCTGGAAAAAATGGATAGCTGCATGAAGAATGAAACTGAATCCCTGTTTCTCACCATATACGAAATTGAACTCAAGATGGATTAAAGACTTAAATGTAAGTCCTGAAACCATACAAATTCTAGAAGAAAATCTACAAAAAAAGCTCTTCTGGACATTGGCCTAAGCAAAGCATTTGTAACTAGGACCTTGAAATCAAATCCAATAAAAACAAAAATAAATAAATGGGACTTAATTATACTAAAAATCTTCTGCACAGCAAAATAAATAATCAAGAGAGTAAAATGATAATCCACAGAATAAGAAAAATATTTGCAAACTGTGGGTCTGAAAAAGAACTAATACCCAGAATCTACAAGGAACACAAACAAATCAGTAAGAAATAAACAAATAATCCCAATAAAAGGGGCAAATAAGATGAATAAACATTTCTCAAAAGAAAATATACAAATGGCCAACATGAAAAACGCTCAACATCACTAATTAATGAAATGCAAATTAAAAGCACAATGAGATACCACTTTACTTCAATCAGAATGGACATTATTAAAAAGTCAAAAACAGCATATGTTGACATGGATGTGGTGAAAAGGGAACACTTATACACTACTTGTGGGAGTGTAAATTAATATAACCTCTACGGAAAATGGTATGGAGATTTCTCAAAGAGCTAAAAGTAGATCTATCATTCGATCTAGCAATCCCAGCAATGGGCATTTACCCAAAAGGAAATAAGTCATTATATGAAAATGACACCTGCACCCATATTTGAATTGCAGCACAATTCATAATTGGAAAGATATGAAATCAACCTAAGTGCCTATCAAGTGAAGAGTGGATAAAGAAAATGTGGTATATATAGACCATGGAATACTACTCCACCATAAAAAGAATGAAATGATTTCTTCTGTAGCAACATGGATGGGACTGAGGCATTATCCTAAGTGAAGAAATTAACGAATGATAAACCAAATACTACATGGCCTCAGGAATGGTAAACCAAATACTGCATGGCCTCACCTATGAATGGGAGCTAAGCTATGGGTATGCAGAGGCATACAGAGTGGTATAATGGACATTGAAGACTTAGAAGCGGGGAGAGTGGCAGAAGGGTGAGGCTTAAAAACTACCTATTAGGTACCATACATACCATTCAGGTGACAGACACACCCAAATCCCAGACTTCTCCACAATACAATTTATCCACGTAACCAAAACCCACATATATCCCAAAAGTTATTGCAATAAAAACAAATTAAAATGAAAAAATAAATAGCATTCTTTAAAATAAGCCAAGGCATAGATATTGGTATTCCAGTATTAATCCAATGCTGTTTGACGTATTTAAGAAAATAAGAGATAAAAAGCTCTTTTAAACTTGGAGGAGAGAGAGGAAAGCTAATTCTCAGCAGTTATGCACGGGTTAAGTTTATGAATGACCTAGAACAGAATACGGTATTGACTTGAGAGAAATATTTCCGTCACTCTAAACACCGTGCTTTGATTTTTCCACAATCATTTCACAATAATGTTTTTGAAGTCTGTTTTTGCATAAAGGAAAATTGAGACCATACATCGGAAAGAAGTAGAATGATTTTCCATGTTTTTACAATTCAGTTTCTTAAGTCACCAAGAAGATGAATCCTCTTTAGCTCTATGTGATTTGAGACAGTTCAAGAGTTGTAGTTGTCAACAGCCAGGTCATCCCATTTCTTTAGTTAACGAGGTGACTACTCTTATAACATGGATACTCAGAACAACTAACATCTCTCTGACCATCGGATTGGAACTGATGACATCAAGTGATAAATAAAGTAATTCTCAGAATAAAGTGTGGGTTAAATCACCCAAACCCATCAATTTCTCTGTTACCTAAAATTTTCAAAAAATTATGGCAGCATGGATTTTTTTTTTTGGCTAAAATATCCATATAATTGCCTCAATTCTTCACATCATGAGTGTGAAATATTACCTTGTAATTCTTACATTAACTTGTCTTCTTGGTGAACTAACATTCGAATACTTTGTCAAATGTAAGGTAGACAGTGTGGCATTCACAGGTTAAATTAAAATGCAATTAAAAAAAGTAATGGTTCTCACTCTGACAGGAGTAGTGTAATAGAGATGGTACCATACCAGAGAGCATTAATTTTTAAAGGGAATTTAAAAAAGAAAGACTCCTACTTCTCTAGCAATTCTATTGCATTAGTCTTTACCACATTGCTAAACATTGCTTTAGCTTTCCACTTTAATAGTGGCAAACTCTGAGGTCTGACATGAAATAGGCTATTTCATCTGAGATGGTTTAAGCTGGTCTAAGGAGTGACAGGAGAATACAGCAAGCAGTCAGTGCTAATGACAGCATACCATTTTTATAGACTAAAGGTCAAGCAATGAATTTCAATTATAGAGTGTCAAGATGTCCAAATGCTGGTACCTGATAACAGGTCAGAAGCTCACCATTTCTGTAAGCCTCCTGTAGAATTTCAATAAAGCTCTTAGCCCTCAGTACAGCCTTTTTAAACACTTTTTTTCCTTTGCCAGAAGCCAAGAGATGTAATCTTTTCTAAGCAACTCCATCTATAGCACCCTTCAGCCAGCGTGTTGCAATAGCTAAATGAAGCATGCCTTTCTAACATATGGGCTTCCCCTGTGGTTCATCTCCCAATGTGTTTGGGAGTGACATAGAGAGGAGGCATAGGTTTTCATCTGCACCATTTAAATGGAGTTTTCAAAAAAAGTGTTATTAGCTCAGCAATAGCAAAGGCTCCACGATGACCCGATAAGACCATTTTCCACTCAAATATTTGAACAGGTTGGAATAAAAAAGTAATTGCAAGGGACCACACTACTCATTTCAAATAGAACATGTGAAGATTTATGTTAAAAAAGCAATAAATATCACTGATTCTATTAAGTTCACTTCCTGTATTGCTTGGGGGAATGCTTAGGAGAGCCAAAATGAGAACAATCAATGTATTCCGTCTTTTTATGTTGAAATAAATGATAAATGGGTTGAGTTTTCCATCCAATTATTTAATATTTTTTTAAATTATAATATGCCCCAAAGACAACTTCTGATTTTCCTCTTCAAAGTTGCTTTACCTGCAGTATTTCTCAACTCAGCTGTTGGAAGTTCCTTTTAGATACTAAGGCCAATAAAATTGGATTTCTTCTTGATTCACCATTCTTCTCTCATGTCCCACAGACTACTCAGTAGGAAATCTTGTTGACTCTGGCTTCAAAAAGTAACTAGACCCAAATAATTTACCCCACTCTTACTGTCACCATCATAGTTCCAAGCACCAGGATGAGCTGCATGGGTTTGCGCAACTAGCCAACACCCAGCCTCCTCTGCTTCTATTCTTGTCCCATCCTATCCCTGAATCTTTTCTCAAAATAGAAAACTGGATGATTATTTGAATATTTAAATAAAATCATGTTGTCCCTTTGTTCAGAATCTTACAACAACTTCTCATTTCATTCACAAGAAAAGCCAAATTCTACCAGACCTTACATAATTTGGCCCCTTTGTTACCCTCTGGTCTCATCTTCTAGCCTTAATCTCACACCCACTTTGCCCCAGCCACTAATGCTTTGGCTGCTCCTCAGAAACACTGCATGGATTACTCCTGTCCACTAGATATCCTCATCATTTTTCAAACATTTTACCTCCTTCAAGTATTGCCCCAAATTAAAATGTCACCTTCTTCATGAGGTAATATTTTAAAAGCCTATTAAAAATGGCTGACAATCTCTACCTTCACTTACATCATGACCAAAGCCTGCATTACCTTTCTATTTTTCCATACAGTGTTTATCATGTCCTAATATATAGCTTTCTTATTTTTGTGTTTATGTCTATACTTGCTGTTTTCCTTTGTTAGAATGCAAGCACCTCAAGGACAGGAATTATTGTGTTTTTTTCAATGATGTATCCTAAGCACTTAGAACAATGCCTGTTCTAAGATAGTACTCAAATATTTGTTCCATAGATGAAGTGGGCACGATTCTTTATCTCTGTACATTTAACCATCCATAAACTGGTTTACCCCTTAACAGAGTTAAGTTGAATAAAGTATTCTGAAAACATCAATCTGATTACATTCAGATAATGAGGATACCACCATAATCAACCATAATCATTCATTCTTATGGAATATGTGAAAAAGGAGTACTAATTGGAGCACATTTTCTGAAGTGGGCTTTGTCTTGAGCTAGCAACATAGACATGAACCACTTTTTCCCCAGCTGGATCCTACCTTCAACCTCCATAAAAAGGAGATATCTGGGGGGCAGGGCCAAGGTGGCTGACTAGAAGCAGCTGTATTCTGAGGCTCCTATTGAAGAAAAAACAAACAAACAAACAAACAACCACATAATAAGCATGTGAATCCTTCACCGACAATCAAGGTATCCAGGTTCTCTCATTAAAATTGACTAGAAGGCTGGCCTGACTCCCGGAGAGAAGGAAGAACAGTGTGGTGCCACAGCCCACCTGACAGCCACACGGGGAAGGGAAACCTCCCCTCTCCAGCCAGGGAGGCAGTGAGTGAGCGTGCTACCCAGCTGGGGACACTGCTTTTTCCAAGGAACTATGCAACCCATGGATTGGAAGATCCTACTCATGAACCCAAGCTACTGGGGCCTAGCACCCCAACCCTGGAACATACAGATTCTTACAGCCTCTCAGCTGCAATCTGCTTAAGCCTGCCAAACTCCTGCGGGGAGAGGCAAGCAGCACCAGCTGTGGCTGCCTGCTGTCTAAGCTGTTTGAGCTTCTTGGGGGAGGGGCAGCAGCCAGCACTGCCACTGGCAACTGCCAACATGCTAAACTCCCTGGGTGGGGGAAGGGTGGCAACTCATTTCGATAGCTCCAGGCTATGCTTTTCCCTTGCTGGAGCCAAGGAGGCTGGACAGCTTAGTCCCAAGGCTTGTCCCCACAGCCCATCATACTGGCTGTGGCAGACTGCTGCCAGAGTGCCTTTTCAGGCCTAAACCTGACCCATCCTTCCTCACTCGGCGGGCCTTCCCTGCAGGATCTCCAGTAACTCTAGCCAGAGGCTCAGGTACAGAATTCGGATCTCCCTGGGCCTGAGACCCTAGGGGGAGGGGTGGCCACAGTCTCTGTGGGCCAGCAGACTTACCCTCTCCTCCTGGAAGTTCTGAGAAATCCAGGGAGCCCAGACAAGTGGGTTTCCCCTTAGTGAAGCACACTATCTCCACCAAGGGACAAAGTGCTTCCTTTGTCCACCAAGGGACGAAGTGCTCCCTGTGCCACCCAACTGGGTGAGACTCTCCAACAGGGGTTGTCAGACACCCTATATAGGAGTGATCCTACTGGCATCAGTTTGGTGCCTCTTGAGGACAGAGGCTCCAGAAGAAGGAGCAGGCACCCATTTTTGCTATTTTCTAGCCTCCTTGAGTGATATTTCCAGGCACGGGAGCAAATCAGATGAATAGGGCCTGAAATGAACCCCCAGCAAACTGCAGCAGCTCTACAGAAGAGGGAGCTTACTATTGAAAGAAACAAACAAACAAGCAGAAAGTGACAAGAATATCAACAACAACAAAAAAGTCCCCCACAAAAACCCGATGCAAGTGTCAGCAGCCTCAAAGACCAAAACTAGACGAACTCATGAAGATGAGAAAGAATAAACAAAAAATGTGGAAAACCCAAAAGGCCAGAGTGCCTCTTCTCCTTTAAATGATTGCAATATCTCTCCATCTAGGGCATGCAAGTGGACGGAGGATCAGATGGACAAATTGGCAGAAGTAGGCTTCAGAAGATGGATAATAAAAAACAACCCTGAGCTAAAGGTGCATGTTCTAACCCAATGCAAAGAAGCTAAGAACCTTGATAAAAGGTTACAGGGATTGCTAACTAGAATAACTAGTTTAGAGAGAAACATAAATGACCTGAAGGAGCTGAATAACACGGCACAAGAACTTCGTGAAGCATACACGAGTATCAACAGCCAAATCGACCAAGCGCAAGAAAGGATATCAGAGTTTGAAGACCACCTTACTGAAATAAGACACGTAGACAAGAATAGAGAAAAAAGAATGAAAAGGAATGAACAAAGCCTCCAAGAAATATGGGACTTTATAAAAAGACCGAACCTATGATTGATGGGAATACCAGAAGGAGACAGGGAGAACTGAAACAAGCTGGAAAACACACTTTAGAATATTATCCAGGAGAACTTCCCCAACCTAGGAAACACACCAACATGCAAATTCAGGAAATACAGAAAACACCGTTAAGAAACTCCATGAGCACTCTGGGAGGCTGAGGCGGGCGGATCATGAGATCAGGAGATCGAGACCATCCTGGCTAACACGGTGAAACCCTGTCTCTACTAAAAACACAAAAAATTAGGCGGGCTTGGTGGTGCGCGCCTGTAGTCCCAGCTACTCGGGAGGCTGAGGCAGGAGAATGGTGTGAACCCGGGAGGTGGAGTTTGCAGTGAGCCAAGACCATGCCACTGCACTCCAGCCTGGGTGACAGAGCAAGACTCCGTCTCAAAAAAAAAAAAAAGATACTCCATGAGAAGATCAACCCCAAGACACATAATCATCAGATTCTCCAAGGTCAAAATGAAGGAAAAACTGTTAAGGGCAGCCGGAGAGAAAGCCCAGGTCACTTACAAAGGAACCCTATTAGACTAATAGCTGATGTCTCAGCAGAAACTCTATAAGCCAGTAAAGACTGGGGGCCAATATTCAACATTCTTAATGAAAAGAATTTTCAACCTGGAATTTCATATCCAGCCAAACTAAGCTTCATAAGCGAAGGAGAAACAAAATTTTTTCCAGATAACAAATGCTGAGGGATTTTGTTACCACCAGCCCTGCCCTGCAAGAGCTCCTGAAAGAAGCACTAAATATGAAAAGGAAAAACTGGTACTAGCCACTGCAAAAACACACCAAAATGTAAAGACTATGAAGAAACTGCATCAACTAATGTGCAAAATAACCAAGTAGTGTCAGGATGGCAGGATCAAATTCACACATAACAATACTAACCTTAAAAGTAAATGGGCTAAATGTCCCAATTAAAAGACACAGATTGGCAAATTGGATGAAGAGTCAAGAACAATTGGTATGCCATATTCAGGAGACCCATCTTACACACAAAGACACACACAGGCTCAAACTAAAGGGATGGAGGAAAATTTACCAAGCAAATGGAAAGCAAAACAAAACAAAACAAACAAACAAACAAACAAAAAATAAACAGGAGTTGCAATCCCGGTCTCTGACAAAACGGACTTTAAACTAACAAAGATAAAAAACAAACAAACGAACAAAAACAAAGAAGGGCACTACATAATGTAATGGTAAAGGGAACAATTCAACAAGAAGAGCTAACTATTCTGACTATATATCCAATAAGGGAGCACCCAGATTCATAAAACAAGTTCTTAGAAAACTACAAAGAGACTTAGATTCCCACACAATAATAGTGGGAGACTTTAACACTCCCTTGTCAGTATTAGACAGATCAATGAGACAGAAAATTAACAAGGATATTCAGGACTTGAACTCAGCTCTGGATCAAGTGGACCTAGCAGATGTCTACAGAACTCTCTACCCCAAATCAACAGAATATACATTCTTCTCCGTGCCACATGGCACATATTCTAAAATTGACCACATGATTGAAAGTAAAACACTCTTTAGCAAATGCAAAAGAACTGAAATCATAACAAACAGTCTCTTAGACCACAGTGCAATCAAATTAGAGCTCAGAGTTAAGAAACTCACTCAAAACCACACAATTTTATGGAAATTGAACAACCTGCCACCGAATGACTCCTGGGTAAATAATGAAGTTAAGGCAGAAATCAAGAAGTTCTTTGAAACCAGTGAGAATAAAGAGACAATGCAGCAGAATCTCTGGGACACAGCTAAAGCAGTGTTAAGAGGGAAATTTATAGCACTAAATGCCCACATCAGAAAGCTAGAACAATCTCAAATTGACATCCTAACATGACAAAAGAGCTAGAGAGGCAAGAGCAAACTAATCCAAAAGGTACCAGGAGACAAGAAATAACTAAGAAGAGAGAAAAAATGAAGGTGGTAGAGACACAAAAACCCTCCAAAAAATCAACGAATCCAGAAGCTGTTTTTCTGAAAAAATTAACAAAATAGATAGACTGTTACCTAGGCTAATAAAGAGAGAAGAATCAAATAGATACAATAAATAATGATAAAGGGGATATCACCACTGACCCCACAGAAATACAAACTACCATCAGAGAATACTATAAACACCTCTACATAAATAAAGTAGAAAACCTAGAAGAAATGGATAAATTCCTGGATGCAAACACCCTACCAAGACTAAAACAGAAAAAAAGTTGAATCCCTGAATAGACCAATAACAAGCTCTGAAATTGAGGCAGTAATTAATAGTCTACCAACCAAAACAAGCCCAAGGTCAGATGGATTCACAGCTGAATTCTACCAGAAATAGAAAGAGGAGCGGGTACCATTCCTTTTGAAACTATTCCAAACAATTGAAAGGAAGGGACTCCTCCCTAACTCATTTTATGAATCCAGCATCACCCTGATACCAAAACCTGGAAGAGACACAACAAAAAAAGAAAACTTCAGACCAGTATCCCTGATGAACATTGATGCAAAAATCCTCAATAAAATACTGCCACACCAAATCCAGCAGCACATCAAAAAACTTATCCATCATGATCCCTGCGATGCAAGCCTGGTTCAACATATGGAAATCAATAAACGTAATCCATCACATAAACAGAACCAAAGACAAAAACCACATGATTATCTCAATAGATGCAGAAAAGGCCTTGAATAAAATTCAACATTCTTTCATGTTAAAAACTCTCAATAAACTAGGTATTGATGGAACATATCTCAAAATAATAAGAGCTATTCATGACAAACCCACAGCTAATATTATATTGAATGAGCAAAAGCTGGAACCCTTTGAAAACTGGCACAAGACAAGGGTGCCCTCTCTCACCACTCCTATTCAACACAGTATTGGAAATTCTGGCCAGGGCAATCAGGCAAGAGAAAGAAATAAAGCGTATTCAAATAGGAAGAGAGGAAGTCAAGTTGTCTCTGTTTGCAGATGACATGATTTTATATTTAGAAAACCAAATCACCTCAGCCCAAAAACTTCTTGAATGGATAAGTAACTTTGACAAAGTCTCAGGGTACAAAATCAATATGCAAAATTCACAAGCATTCCTTTACACCAACATTAGGCAAGCAGAGAGCCAAATCATGAATGAACTCCCATTCACAATTTCTACAAAGAGAATAAAATACCTAGGAATACAGCTAACAAGTGATGTGAATGACCTCTTCAAGGAGAACTTCAAACCACTGCACAAGGAAATAAGAGCGGACACAAACAGATGGAAAAACATTCCATCTTCATGGATAGGAAGAATCAATATCATGGAAATGGCCATATTGACCAAAATAATTTATAGATTCAATGCTTCAATGCTATTCCCATCAAACTATCACTGGCATTCTTCACAGAATTAGAAAAAAACTATTTTAAATTTCATGTGGAATCAAAGAAGACTCTGTATAGCCAAGACAATCCTAAGCAAAAAGAACAAAGCTGGAGGCATCACACTACCTGTTTCAAACTATACTACAAGGTTACAGTACCCAAATCAGCATGGTACTGGTACCAAAACAGATATATAGACCAATGGAGCAGACAGAACAGAGACCTCAGAAATAGCACCACGCATCTACAACCATCTGATCTTCAACAAACCTGACAAAAACAAGCAATGGGGAAAGGCTCTCCTATTCAGTAAATGGTCCTGGGAAAACTGGCTAGCCAAATGCAAAAAACTGAAACTGGACCCCTTCCTTACACCTTATACAAAAATTAACTCAAGATGGATTAAAGACTTGAATGTAAAACTCAAGACCATAAAAACCCAAGAAGAAAACCTAGACAATACCATTCAGGACATAGGCATGGGCAAAGACTTCATGACAAAAACACCAAAAACAATTGCAACAAAAGCCAAAATTGACAAATGGGATCTAATTAAACGAAAGAGCTTCTGCACAGCAAAAGAGACTATCATCACAGTGAACAGGCAACCTACAGAATGGGAGAAAAATTTTGCAATCTACCCATCTGACAAAGGTCTAATATCCAGCATTCAGAAGGAACTTAAATATATTTACAAGAAAAAAACCCCATCAAAAAGTGGGCAAAGGATACAAACAGACACTTCTCAAAAGAAGACATTTATGCAGCCAACAAACATATGAAAAAAAGCTCAACATCACTGATCATCAGGAAAATGCAAATCAAAACCACAACGAGGTACCATCTCACACCAGTCAGAATAGCAATTATTAAAAAGTCAGGAAACAATAGATGCTAGCGAGGGTGTGGAGAAATAGCTATGCTTTTACATTGGTGGTGGGAATGTAAATTAGTTCAACCATTGTGGAAGACAGTATGGCAATTCCTTGAGGATCTAGAACCAGAAATACCATTTGACCCATTACTGGGTGTGTATACCCAAAGGAATATAAATCATTCTACTATAAAGACACATGCACACCTATGTTTACTGCAGCACTATTTACAATAGCAAAGACTTGGAACCAGCCCAAATGCCCATCAATGATAGACTGGATAAAGAAAATGTGATACACATACACCAAGGAATACTATGAAGCCATAAAAAGGAATGAGATCACGTCCTTTGCAGGGACATGGATGAAACTGGAAGCCATCATCCTCAGCAAACAAACACAGAAACAGAAAATCAAACACCGAATGTTCTCACTCATAAGTGGGAGTTGAACAATGAGAACACATGGACACAGGGAGGGGAACAACACACACCAGGGTCTGTTGGGGGGTAGGGGTTGAGGACAGGGAACTTAAGAATATGGGTCAATAGGTGCAACAAACCAGGATGGCACATGTATACCTATGTAACAAACCTTTATGTTCTGCACATGCATCCCATTTTTTTAGAAGAACTAAAGGAAAAAAAAAGGAGAAAACTGAACTATAGAATTTCTGTTCTGTAATTGACATAAGCATGCAATTTAAACTTTTGATTCCACAGCAGCCCATCAGAAGGGACAAGTAGGGATTGTGATGCTCATTTCTAAAATAATTTATAATTTATTTAATTTTTTAAAAAAACAAGTTATGCAGTTTGCTCAAGGTCACAAAGTCAATCTTGAAAAAATATATGTAGTGTCCCAGTTCCAAATACACAGGCTTTCTCTGGTGTAATGTGATGATACTGTCATATCCAACAATCATATGCAGCAGTTAATGTTCATTGTATTCTGACAATCTTAGTTCCACAGGTTTTTGTTGGATGTTAGATATTTTGAATTAAAAACTGTGGACACTATGAGCAACACTACCTACTTCAAAAAAGACTTTTATTTTTATTTTTCCTGGCTGGCAGAGAGAACCAGTTGACTATCTTGCTGCTGTTGTGAGTTAGTTTTGGCTTTATTCAGGCTGGTCTGTTTCCATTTTCTCTCTATTCTTGAGTAAGTTGTAGTCACCATGTTTTTTTTACATTTGCAGGGCTTTAATGCCAACCTTCCTCTTCTCATCAACTACTGAATGCTAACATTTCTGTTAAGTTCTTTGGTCTTCCAGATGCGGTTTATTCTGGGTTACCTGGTCTTGTCTTATGCTGGAACAGGTTTGGAATTGGCCAGTTCCTCAAGAAGATACTACACACACAATTTTTGCCTCACTTCTTTCCAGTTTTCTCCTATCAAAGATGTTGCAACTATATCCAGTTTATTTGGCATTTTGGAATTCTATTCTCTGTTTCCTCAGTAACCAAGACTGAGCTTCTCCTTGAGTTTTATTTCACTTTGCGGTAAACTGGTACGAAACCTCATGGAAAGGATGGGGTGAGTGTAGAGCTTACCCATGTATTTATTTTTTCACAACATTTCAGTCTCTCAAGGCCTGCCTGCTGTCATTGTTCTATCATGTGTTTAGGCAAGCTTGTTTTCATAATTAAGTTGTATGTAGTACATAGTTAATTCCAGTGTTAGCGTTATTTCAATTCAAATTGATTATTAATGGCCAGCTTGGAAATCCAGTTCTTCCTGATTGTATTCTCCTTGAAATTACTAATTCTGATCTCTTTATTTGAATGGCTTTTACTGTTTGGACTCATGATCTTTTCCTACCTCAATTTAGAAACCATGCTCATCAAAGTTTGAGATCAAATCTGTTTCACAGACCCTCCAAACCAACTCTGTGTGGATATCTTAACTATTAAACCCATCTCAATGTTAGTTTATTTCTAGATAAGGAAGTTATGACACAACATAACAAAACAGAGCAAAACCTAATCTTTCACATTATTTGAAAACATTTTTTGTAAAGTGTGTTATTAGGGAATTCTGCTTGCTGACTCACATTTTCAATATTATCTCGGCAATTTTAACATCTAACTTTTACTGCAGGTACAATAGCAAACTTCAACAATGAGCCTGGCCTTGTGTAATTGATTTGCATGTATTTCCAATTTTATCTGCGTATCAATGTTTTGAGTCTCACTATTAGCATTTTTTAGAGTCCCAGTTTCCAAAAGGCAAATTATAATTATGAATGTTAATAGTTTTAGAAACTAGATATCCATCATGTTTCCTATATAATCTTTGGCTTTTAAAAGCCCAAAGGCCGATTTTGTGGTCAATTGAGATATAATAGTCTCAGTCAAAATCTAGGTATAAATATTTCCTTGTATTCCTAAATTGTTATATAACTTTTGCTTTTTACATTATTTAGCATACTACCTATATCTTGGATTTGGGAACTTGATTCTTTTTTTGTCTAAGGTTTAGCAAAAATTTTGTGTAATAGATATAGTCCCCCAGATATTCTAAACATACTAGTATGTATATAAGACCTCTTCATTAATGGAGAATTTATACGAACATATTTTTCTGAGAAAGGCTGGGACTTAAAATTGGATGGATCTCTACTACACGCTGCAGAAGAAAATTGGAAGATTTGCTGAGGATTTTGATATTTCATTCAAATGAAGAATTTTCTGGTTTGTGGTGAAAGATTAAAAACCAGTGTCTTAACTCTGTCTGACTAAAATCTTACAATTAAAATTAGAAAAACAGTTTCTCATGTTCTAGTCAGGCTATCTGGTTTCAAATCTCAAATGCCTACAACACACACACACACACACACACACACACACACACACACACACACACACACAGTTATAGGTACTTGGTCACAGATGTGTTCATTATAAGAATATTTTAAAAATGCAGTTTAAAATGTGGATATGAACAAATGATCAATAGCAGGTAAATGGATGAATAAATCATGTTTCCTCAACAGGATGGATGAGTATCAACTAATAAAAATGTATACATAAATGACAAAAATTATGAAGTCTGTGATAACATGAAAAACTAATATAAAACAACAGAGTTAAACATACATCTATGTTGATTGCAGCTATGGATATATGGATTGTAGCTATGGATATACATGTATGCACCTGAAAAAGGTTGATTTTCCCAAATTAAAAATCACAAGTAGCTATTATAATAAGCTGATGGGATTAATTTGTTTTAATGTGTAATGTGTTTAATTTGTTTTAAAGTGTCTTGACCTCTTTAAGCTTTATTTTCTTCACATATATCTGAAAAAAATAATTATTACTTGCCTTTCTAGTTCTAGATGTTATTGTGAAGACGATATGAAGCAATGGGGATGTAAGAGTTTAGTGCATAATTAAGTGTTAGGAAGATATAAACTTGAAAAATAAAAGTGTTCAAAGAAGCTTCACTATTAAACTAATCAACCAACCAACATTTTGCCTTGTTATTTCCTTTACAGCTAACACATAGTCTTGATGTTTTACATCATTTATGTTTTGGGAGGTAACTTGAAATAGTTGTTTTGCTGGAATTATTTTTAGACTTAGGACAAGGATTTATAATGAATAATTTAATAAAATGAATACAGCTAATTTGTTATTTTCATTCTTTATTTAATTTTTCATTATTTCCTGCTAATTATTCTTAAATTTGGGACATCTGCACCAAGTTCTCATGAAGACTTTATGGAAATGCAGATTTCTGTGCCTCTTCCAAGTTGTATGGAATCAGAATCTCATGATCAAGCCTGATAATCTGTATTTGTGAGAAGTTCCTTGAGTAATTACTGGAGGTGTTTTCCTTTGTGAACCAACATAAAATGCAATATGCTGAGGTGTTGATATGCACAATAAAAAACTTAAAGTTTCTATCATCAAGGGTCTCACAGTGCAGGAGATGGACAATAATTTAATGAATACCACTAAGTGATGAGCCCATCAGAAAAGATGAGGAAGAGTGAACCAGGGAGAGAAGTAAGCGGTGACTGACATTCCTGACAGAGCAATCTCATGCTTTCTGATGAGCTTGATTGAGGGTGTTTGTAGGGATATGGAACATGGTGAACTTGGAAGGTAAGAAAAGTAGCTTTCCAATTGCCTCATTGTCTGGATTTTGGATTTCAGATTTTGGAAATCTGGATTTTGGATTTTCTGCTTAAGACCAAGAGGGCATTGAAGAAACAGAGGAACAGACTTTCTTGAATAAGAGAGAGAAATGGTTTTCTGATTAGGATCATTTATTGGGGGCAGGGGTTGTGAAGGGAACCAAGACATCCTTGGAAATAGAGCAAGAATAAAAATGTTGATGACTATTATGTCAGGCCCCCAAAGACAGGGTAAGACAACTCGCAGTTGCAGCTCAAGGAGAAAACAAATGCAATTATGTGTGCAGAGTGGTTCCTGTTTTTTTCTTATTATCCTTTATTTGTTACAGGGTCTGTAGTGATATTCTCTCTTTCACTTGTGAAATTGATATTTTGTGTATTCTCTCTCTTTTCTTGTCTGTTAGGCTACAGTGTTGTCAATTTTACTTATTTTTTTTCATAAAACAGAACATCAATTCATTGATTTTCTCTACTGTTTTCCCATTTTCAGTTTCATATATTTTTGCTTTTATCTTCATTATTTTTTTCCTACTGCTGCTTTGGGTTTATTTTGCTTCCCTTTTGCTGGGACCTTAAGGTGAGAGCCTAGATTTTGTTTTGAGGCTTCCTCTTTTCTAATGTATGCATTTGGTATAATAAATTTCCCTTGCAAGACAGTTTTAGCTGTGATCCTCAAGTTTTTATACACCGCGTTTTTATTTTCATTCAGTTCATTGTTCTTGTTTTTTACCGTTTCCCTTGGGACTTCCTCCTTTACCCATGGATTATTTTGAAGTGTGTTGTTAGTTTCAAAGGGTCCATGGATTATTTTGAAGTGTGTTGTTTAGTTTCCAAGGGTTTAGAGATGTTCCTCTCTTTCTATTATTTACTTCTAGTTTGATTTCACTGTGTGTCAAATATTAGTAACATTGTATGTCATTTCAGTTCTTTTAAACTTGTTGGATGGGGTTTTATGTAATAAAATATGGTCTACTCTAAAATTTCTTCCAAGAAAAGTTTAAAAAGATGTCTATTTTGCTGTTGGGTGGAGTGTTCTACGAATGGCAATTAGAGCCTATTGATTGATATTGTAGTTTAGTTATTCTGTATTCTTGCTAATTTTCTATCTAGTTGTTTTATTAATTATAAATATAGAAGTGTTGAAGTATCTCATTACACTAGTTAATTTGTTTATTTCTCCTTTAAGTTATGCCTGTGTTTTTTTTTAAATATATTGTAGCTCTGTTACCTGGCATATGCACATTTAGGACTGTTATATCTTCTTGAGACACTAATCATTTATCATTATATAATTTCCCTCTCTTTTTTCTCAAGTCTACTTTATCTGATATTGATATAGCCACCCCTTGCTTTCTTTTGACCAATGTTTGCATGCTATGTTTTTCTCATCTTTTTTATTTCAATCTGCCTTAACGTTATATTTTCAGTGAATTTACTTGTAGATAGCATATAGCTGGGTCATGTTAATCTACTCTTTCAATTTCTTTGTTTTATTTGAGTTATTCATAACATTTAGATTTAATATAATTATTGTTATATTAGGGCTTAAGTCTTTCTTTTCATCTTTTATTATTTTTATTTTCTTCCCTCTTTTCTTGTTTTGTATTTCTGTTTTCCTTTTCCCTGCTCTGTGGATTATTTGAATGTGTTTTAGAGTTCCATTTTGATTTAGCCAAAGTATTTTTGAGTGTATTCCTTTTGTATGCCTTTTCTGTGGTTGCTGTAGGTACTGTAGTATGTGTGGGTATACACAAAAAATGTAAATTGACATATTTAATATAAATGTATATGTGTAAATTTAATTGATATATAGAAATCTCATCTCCCTTTACTATCCCCCACTTACAATGTTTTAAAATTTTCCTTTACATGTTTTTAACTACCACATCTGACAGCATTCTAATTTTTACTTCTACCAGCAAGCATAATTTAGAAAAAAACAGGACAAGGGGTTTCTGTTATATTTAGACATATTTTTTGCTTACTGTATTCTTTCCCTTCTTGTTTCATGGTTCATCTTTTGTGGCTTTCTTTATGTTAGAGAACTTCCTCTAGCCATTCTCCAAGGTAGGTCAGCTAACAACAAATTATTTTAGTTTTCTTCCATCTGAGAATGTCTTAATTTTCCATTTAATCCTGAAGAACATTTTTGATGGAGACAGAATTATAGGTTGACATTTTTTCCCTTTCATCACTTGAAAATTGATGTGCGACTTTCTTTTGGCTTTCACAGTTTCCAATGAGAAATCTATCATCATTTGAATTGTTCCCCCATATGCAAGTTGTTATTTCTTTCTTGCTGCCTTCAAGATGTTCATTTAGTTTGCCCTTAGTTTTCACAAGTTTGGCTATGATGTATCTTTGTGTGGATTTTGGTGGGGGTGGGGTTATGCTGTCTAGAGTTTATTCAGTTTCTTAAATCTGTCGGTTTATATATTTTGTCAAGTTTGGAAATTTTGGTGCCATTATAACTTTTTTTTGAGTATACTGCTAGTGATATCCTCTGTTCAGATGACCTGAAACACAGATGGATGTGATATGATTATCAATGGACAGTGGGGAATATCCTGACTCTTTATTCAATCTCCTCTGATACCACCTCAATGGGGAGAATGGGGTGCTTCATTACTGCCAGGTGGGAGTCAAAGTCTAGGCTATTACTGCTGGGCAACGGGGAAAACTGTGAAACTTGCTCAAATTTCTCTGCAGAAAGTTTGGAGCATCTTCTTTCAACCTGGAAAGGATGGAAGTCTAGGCTCTTCACTCTACCTTTGCTGGTGGGGTTAGGGGTGGAGCCACAGAGTGTATGCATGGGTTTGTGTGCATGTGTGTTATTTGGCTGCAGTGGGAGCCAAATAACTATCTTCCTTGGTTGTCTCTTTCCTGGTCTTTTTACTAGAAAGGCAGATTTTTTTTGAGACATTATTTTGTCTATGTATTGGCATTTCTGGGTTACCAGCATCTTCATCTTCATCTTCATCTTCATTTCTGGAATTTATCAGGCAAAAATAAAATCAGGAAACTCACCACCATGTCATTCCTTAAGTCCTAAAATCCCTAGACTCTTTGTCTTCTTCCTTTCAGCTTTCAGAATATTTTCACATTTGTTTTAAATATAAGCTATAGGGTGGTTGTTTATAATTAGTGGGAGGAATAGGGCAAAGTATATCTCTTCCATCTTTCCAGAATTAGAAGGCTTTCCAGAATTAGAAAAATTGTTTTTACATTTGGAATCCCCAGATATCAAGCTATTCCACTAGCCCACACTTTTTGCTAATGCTCGTCTTCTTACTCTGGTCCTAGCAAAGTCTCTCTATCAATGGTAGGAACTCTTCCTTTTGCCAGTATTTTGAATAGCCATTCACTCCTAGGTATGGGGCAAATGGTTAACTGAGATAACATACCTGAACAGTCAAGCTGAAGTCAACATGAGAATAATGTTTTAAGCTATGCGAAGGACATTTGTATTCTCCCTAGATAAGTCATGTTGCTCCACCAGGTATTTTTACACAGGAGAATCTAATATCAAATAACTCTTTAGACAGCTAGGAGTTGATAAGATAGTTATTCTAAGCTTCAGGTATTGGTTGATGAAAATCACTTAGCTATTTCAAGATGCTCATGAGAAAAGATTTCGTTTCCACAGAGCCCACAAAAGCACAACAAAACCAAAATGTGAACATCAAAGTTTATGCTGCTCATTTAATTATTAATAATGCACCAAGTCATAGTGATGTCCACAATTCATTTGGAAAACATTTTAAAACATTGGCATATAAAAGAATAAGTATATACATTTGTTTCCTATATAGTTGGATGTATAATTATTGAGCGGTTTTTAAGCTGCATTGGCCAACACTTAGGATCATCTACACTTTCACAGTTGAAAACACAAGTAGATCAATGCCTAAAATCATGCGATTCATCTTCATTATTGTCAACATTGTTCCATTATTTTGATGCATGAAGGTGCCATGCCCCTGGCTATTGTGGGAACCTCCATGCATGAATATCAGATCCCAGAGCTTCAGTCCTCACTGCATAATGTCATTCTTACCCTTGAACTGATTTAATATCCATTTTACCAAGCTGAAAAGTATGAGAAGCCATTTTTACAGCTATTCCAAACATCCCTAAGTGCACAAGCTCTAGATAAATAAAGTACTAGTAATCCATTATATGTATACTCTACAGCATTTTCTGCTTTTCAAAGTACATATTACTCATTTATTTAACATAGTTTTAAAACATATATGCAGTAACAATTTCTATGCTAGATGCAGGGAATGCAATGTGGAATCATGCTTTCAGAAGCTTTTCTCAATATATGCCCATGGGAAAGAGAGGAAAAGCATTGGTTACCCACATATTACAGATGAAGAGAGACCCAGAAAGATTTTCCTATCTGCCCAAGGACACCCACAGAACTAACAATAAAGTTATCCTGATTCTTCATGCCCTTTGCCCTCTACTCCATCTCACATTTTAACCATATGTTTACTTAATGTATTATAATCCATTAGCACTGGATGGCCTGTTCATCAGAGAACAGTAAAAACACGAACTAGTACATCAAAATTCAGGAGGAATGGAGCACTATCCCATTTCAAAACTTCAGCTTCCTTACTTGACAGTCACAGAAATCACCCTGTACATTATTAGGACAAGTGAAGAAAAATCATAATGGTAATTAGACAAAGTACAGACGACTCAAAGTATGCATTCAGCAGATGATGTAATAGTCGTGTCTCAAAGAGAATCGTGGGATATGTGCTGTTGGGGGAAATTGACAGACTTGCAAGGTAAAAAGGTGAAAGCCACTCTGTTATTGAATTTATCACATGGTCACAGAGAAATTGATTCTTATGCCTGTGCCCACCCAGTCCATTATCGATAATATACTTATCATCACCCTCCCTCCTATCCAACATAGTTCTGCTATTTGGCAGGAATTTACAAATGTCTGATGAATTAAAGAAAGAATAAGAGCAAGAGAAGTAGAATAGATGAAGGTAAAAATAAATATGGATTCAAATAGTGTTTGTCAGATTGGAAAATCAATGAAGACTAAGAAATTCTAAAATACCCCTCAATTCTTATCTCTGTGTAATCTGAGCACATTCCTTTAGCACCTCACATTCATCATGGTGTCTGCTCCTGTCTGATGGCAACAGTAGTGGACACGTCTTGCTGCCCCGTGATTTCCCAAAAGAGAGAGCCACAGTAGACTCCTAGAATCGCTCTGAAACCTGGAAGATCTGGCACTAACTTTAAACAGTGATATAAGTGGATAATTCACTATTGAGATTTGGCTCTGAGAACATGAAGTGGTCAGGAAGAAAAATTATATTCTTTATTTATTTAAACATTTACTATTGGTTTAAAAATATATTTAAATACAGAAAAGAAATTGTCAAACTTCACACTTAGGATTGGTACCAGAGAAGATGGCAGGCAAAAGATCTTCTAGTGGAAATTAGAATTTCCAATTTAGAATTTGTCCCATTCCAGTTCTTTGCATTCTAGATATTTGTCATTGAGCTACTTCTTCCTTGAGAGTTCTAAATTCCCCATTTATCATTCATACACGTTTTTATATTCATCTGTGCTCATATAAAGCAGAAACTACGTAAAGAAGACAGCTAAATCAGGGCCGAGGTGTGATGGCTCACACCTGTAATTCCAGCATTTTGGGAGGCTGATGCGGACGGATCACTTGAGGTCTGGAGTTCAAAATTAGCCCGGCCAAGATGATGAAACCCCTTCTGTATTAAAAACACAAAAAGTTTAGCTGAGCATGGTGGCACATACCTGTAATTCCAGCTACTTGGGAGACTGAGGCAGGAGAATTTCTTGAATCTGGAAGGTAGAGGTTGCAATGAACCAGGATCATATCACTGCACTCCAGCCTGGGTGGCAGAGCGAGATTCTGTCAAAAAAAAAAAAAAAAAAAAAAAGACTGTGAAATCAATAGTTTGAGTCAAACTCAAAAGTTTGGTGAGTCAAAAAGTTTTAATCATAAGGGGAAATGTTAAACATATATTTAACAACTTAGCATGGATTTGTTTCCAGGTAAGAAAACTGGTATCAAATCTATTTGACATTATGATCCACCATTGAAAACCGATACTTGCCTGATAAAATCCTCTTATCACACTGAAAATTGTGTGGAACTATTAAAGTTCCTATCTAGAAAGATCCTTAGAGATCAACTACAAGCATAGTCTCTAAAACAATGGTTTTCTCAATGCTAGAGAACATATTTTATCTGTATTTATATTTTCAATATTTAAAAATATGTAATATTCATTTATTGAATATATCTTGAATAAGTTAAAGGTATTAAACACTTGCTGTTTAAAAGCCCTTATCTAATAACATCTTACATGGACCATTTCAACAAATCATGAAATAAATTTGACTTAGCAAAGTGAGAGAATTCAACTTAGCAAACTTTTATAATAGCAGTTTTAAGAGTAAGAAGAAATGTTAGGCCCATCTTTTAAAGTTGACAGAGATTTTTTTTTCCTGGTAATAACACTGATGTCAAATCAATTCCACAATATGATAAACTACCAAGAACTGATATTGGACTGATTAAGTCCTCTAATAATTTTGCAGAGTATAGTAAGAAACTTGAAACAACTTCAAGGAAATATAACATTTCTACTATGTCACTAATATCCACCATAGATTCAAGTCAGTTACTTTTCTCCCGAATGTCTTATGAGTCTTCCTGAGCTTATAATAATTCCCTGAATATTCCGTAATCCGTTCTTTACTTACTAACGTTCCTCTTTCTCATTTAGAAAAATCAAAAGAAACAGCACCGCACCAAAACCTCTCAATGTCTATGAAATCATCTTATACTTCCCCAATAAAATGACACATTCTGATATCCCACAACAGTTTGTACCCATTACAATTCATAATCTTATATTAAAAAATATAAACACCATATTCACCTTCTAAATTGTAAGATATTTAATGAAGATGATGATTCTTATATATTTCCATGGCACTTAAAACAAGCTGAATACAATTCTTAGCTGTCTCTCTCATGTACATATACATATACACATACATATGTGTGTATCTTTATGTATAGGTGTCTATCTTTGTGTGTGTATAGATACCTATATGTGTGTGTCTATATATATGTGCGTGTGTTTACAGAAACCTATATATAGATACATACACATGTATATATTCAAAACACATATATATACACACATATACATATGAATAATTGATAATTGATATATTCCCTATGTTCCAGGTGATGATATAATCATATGTATGGATTAGTAAGTATAATCATGTGTAATTATAAATATACATAACCATATATAGATATGTAGATATACACCAATATAGATATAAAAATGAATATAATAAAGTACAAATGAATATGCAAAATATAAATAACATTATCCCTATTTTACAAATGAGGAATTAAGGTACAAAGAGGTTAAATAATTTTTCCATAGTCACAATGGCAGAGAAGATAGCAGAGTCAGAACGTGAAGGCAGGCTTCTGCCTTCTAGGTTTTAGAAAAATGTCACAGTGCCTCTCATAGGTGCTACATCCTATTTATAGTTAATTCACCAGTGTCTACCACTGTCTGACCTAGAGTAAAAAAACCAATATATATGTGTTGAATGAATGTCATTATATGAATTTTAACATTCCATAGGTTCAATTTCCTGTGGCAGAATCTTAATAAAATGGTTTTCCTGTGAATTGCTTTAATATGGGCTTCCACTGAAGGTAAATCATTTAGAGGTAACTTACACTTAATTGGTTTCAGTGCATGTTTTAGATAAAGTCAAAGCATTTATGCTCCAAGAGTTTCCAGTACACACTAATATTACAGAATTAAAATATTATTTTTATGCTGTATGGTAATCTTTCTTTCCACAATTCATTAATATTTGTATAGTAAATTTTCATCAAAGTTGTGCCTTTTGTGACTTTAAAGACTTTCTTCCTTTAGACTGCAGAAGTTTCTCCTAAGTCTAATGCTACCCTGCCTCCCACATTTTGTTATGGATCCTTAATTAAGTGAGTGCCTATTCTATGGAGGTCCTTAAGCAGAATGGGTGGAGTGGCCCGGCTTTCTCTCAGGTTACAGAAGTTCTCCAGTATAATCTTCCTCTGCCTCCATATGCACAAAAGCTCATCCAGTTTCTGAGTATCTAGTTTTCATCTCTAAAATGTAGCTTTCCTGGATCAAGAAAAGACCTTCTCTTGCTTTTGTATATTCTATTGACCGTGCATGAGGAACAATGGGAGTCCACCTGAAATATTTTTTTACTCAGTGCTCAGAACCACCAATGTGCACCATTATTGGGTAATCCCTGTCTCAGCCTTGTACCCTGCCTCTACCTTCACATATCAGAAAGCAATAGGGATATATGTATAAAATGAGCTTGTCCTGGAAGGCAAATTCTGCAAATTGGGCTACTTTGAAGCAAATCCTTCAAATTAGAACTTTAATTATCTAGGTTCAAGTACAAACTGGAGATAATAAAAATCTCTTAACCATTTTTCTCTCTGGGCCCCTATTGTGTCTTAACAATTTGGTTACTAGAAACTCATTCTAGTGACATGACATTCCTAACTTCCAAAATTAGTACAGCTGTGCATTTGTTCACCTGTGTTACATGGATATTTTCATGGAAGGTAAGAAAAGGTGGCTCAGGCATCATTAATTCTCCTTTTCCCAATGTAAACTATCATGTTGTCTTTTCTTCTGGGTCATTATTTTTTGTGACATCGTATGATAATTTGGAGAAGTGGTCTTCTTGTCTTAAAAGTGACAAACATCTTCCTACAAAATTCTTTGGTTTACAGTATATCCATTACAAAAGCGTATTCATCTGAGTAACAATTTTTTTCTCTTGTTTTTCAAGTTTTATTTGTTGGGTTTTGTTCTTTTATTCACTCTTGTTGAATAAGGAAATATATATCCAGATTCATATTTTTCCAATAGGCACAAGATGCAAATTCTCCTTTCATCTGCTTGCCTTTGGGGACTGGAAAGAAAACCTTTGCCCCACTCTCTGACTGACCCTCTGAACGTGTAGAGTACAAACTAATAGAGAACAGAAAACAATAAAGATTAAGCATATTTTCTATATCCATCTCACCCAACAATGTCTTATTCATGTGCACTAAGTATTTCTTAGGCAATCAGTAACCCCTAGTCTCACCAAAGTCCCTTTATTTCTCTCCTAATGTTGGTTGATTACTGAATTATCTGACAATGTAGAGAGAAGATCCTTACTGTTGATAATTTTATTTTTGCTTAATCTGCCTTGTCATTACAACATGCAGACAACCGTCTCAAATTTAGGAATAGCCAGCTCTCCATTTTAGTACATAATGTTATGGTCTAGATTTTATTAGGTTTCTTTGGAGAATTTTCTGAAGTATTATTTTGAGATGATTCAAGAGGTATTTTCGGAATCTACCAGCAAGTTTCAACTTTAAACTGACAGTCCTCTGAAATAGTTTTAAGTCCATAAAGTATCACATTGCCTAACAGACAAAAATAATAAGTGTTCTCATTTTCCTTTTGAACTCTCTAATGTTTTGATAATGTAATTCAGGAGACCATTTTTTCCCTCAGTCACCCTCATTATCTTTCTTCTAACCAACATTCCATGCTAGCTAATCACTTCATCCAGAAATTAAGATATAATTGATGATAAAAATGAAATTGCAAAGTTATTGAATTGTGTTGGTTTGACTAACAAGGCTTATATCTAATAGTTGATATCTCCCATTTAAATGCCTTAGCTGGCTGATTTTGGAACTCAGTAATTTTATTAAATCAGGTCTTTAAATTTAGCCATAAAATATGTCTCTGTAAGTTGTAAAAACTTAGAAACCCTGTTAGCCCTTGGCCTTATTTTAAACAAAAATGTTTCAGATAATACTAAACTTTTATAATTTAGAAAGTAACAGATTGATCCAAGTTTATAATTCTGAGAGCCAAAACATGAGAAAATGTGTCTGCAGCACTTTTCACATGCACAAAAAGAAACTCAATAAACAAACAACAACAAAAAACAAGACAGACACACAGCCACAACCTCTTTCTAATAGATCTTGTTAAATATCTCTATTTTTTAAAATAGTGTAAAAAATGCTTTCTTTTCCAGTAAAGATGTAGGAGAATATGAAAGCTCTTCATTTGTATGGTTAAGAAAAATGGCAAAACCAAGACTAAATGAAAACCCTACCCTTCTGCAAGGGGTCTTTTATAGGGTCTTGCTCCATCTTCCAGACTGGAGTGCAGTGGTATGATCATGGCTCATTGCAGCCTTGAACTCCTGGCCTCAAGTGATCTTCCCACATCAGCCCCCTGAGTATCCAAGTCTGTTAGCCTTCTTTTAGTTTTCTTTTTTATTTTTCCCCAACAAGCTATAGTTTACCATGCCTCTAGGTCTTCATATATGTTTAACCTATGCTTCATTTGACCCCTGCTGCCCAACTAATTTGTCTACTTAATTCTTACTTACTTTACACAACTCACTGAAGAAGTCTTTTCCAGAAGAATTCTTTCTGGATTCTCAGACCAGGTCAGCTCCCCAATATATTTATATTCATGTCTCATTATATTTCCACTTGTGGAACTTATCCTATGCTACTTTGCATTATTATTTTAGTGTATGTTATTTGATTACAAGCTATCTTTTCAGTGAAAATGTAAACTCTATGATATTAGGAATCTCATTGACTTTAGGGCATTGTTATAACAATTGTGCAGAATATGGTGCCGTATATGAAGTAATGTCTAATAAATATCATTATTTCAAAAATGTTTAGAGAATTGAGTGGAATTATTTTATTCCAACACAATTTCCCTGCTTATAGAAAAGATAGCTGTATAGATAGATAATTAGTCAGGACTCTCCAGAAAAGAATAAAACCAATAGATTGTTTTATATATATATATATATATATATATATATATATATATATATATATATATATATATATATACATATACATATATATGTATAAAGAATTGGCTCATGCAATTATGAAGTCTGTATAGTACTATAATTTTCTATGTGCCAGCTGGAGAGCCAGGATGGCTTGTGGTATAGCTTCAGTATGAGTCTGAAGACCTGAAAACAAGGAGGGTTGGTGGTATGAGTTCCAGTTTGAGTCCAGGAAAAGAGCAATGTCTCAGCTCAAAAGCAGTCAGGCAGAGAGAGGAAATTCTCTCTTACCTCACCTTTTGTTCTATTCAGGCATCTATCAGATTTAAGGAGGTCCACTCACATTGGAAAGTACAATTTGCTTTACTCAGTCTACAGATTTCAATCATCCAAAATCACCCTCACTCACCCATCAAAAATAATATTTAACCAAATATCTAGGTATCCTGTGGCTCAGTCCAGTTAACATATACAATTAACTATCACAGATAGGTAGAGAGAAACTTCTTCTATTTCCTAAAAATGGTATTTATATTAAAAATGATCAATTCCTTGGCACTGCCACAATCCAAAAAGGATGGATGGGATACAGAATATTTAAACCTAAAATGTTGAAATAAAAGACCAATGGTCCCACAGTAGGCAGGCAGTTGATTCCACTGAACAAAGCTCTGAACTTAGAATGAAAAGTTGTAGTTGTGGATTTGCCACTCACGTGATGTATGATTTTGAGCAAGTCATCATCTGGTTTTGAATGGTTGCCATGGATGGGGAGAAGTTGGGGAGGAAACGAACATTTATTGATACTCTCCTACATGCTACAAATTCTCCAAAGTGTTCTGCATTTGTTAGGCTACTTCATCTAAAATTATATTTGAAACACCCTGAATATTAACATTCTCATGCCTTTACACAGAACTTCCCATGTGTGAGGTGATGTGATCAACCTCACATAAATCAGCTCAGTGACATCGACTGCCAATTCCAAAGTTATACAGTATAAGCTATAAGTGATAATACTAGTTAAAAACTATGTGTTTTTGGACTCCAAGAAGATTCTCCTTTTCACTATAAACTGCTGTGTTTATATTTGGAAATAGTAGCATCTTTCTAACCCAGTTGTTGTGAGATTTGAATGTGATTATGTATGTGACCACAACAAACAGTGCTTGACTATTAGTAGATAAGTAGTCCATATTCAATGAATACAAATAAATATATATTCAATGGAATAATTCGTGTGTAATAAACACAAACTGCCATAGCACAGGCTCCTCACATCAAGGCTTTATTCGTCACTGAGAAGTTCTGCAAATATAGATCAGTTTCTTCTACCGTAATGCTCATAAAAACTAATTTACATCTTTCTATAAGAACACTTGGCTAGAAGTCTGTATCACTGAATACATATGAGGCAATTCTGAAAATAAAAACTTGCATATCTAAGACATTGTTTCACACAACTAGTAATTAAGATCTACTAGCTGTTGAGAAACGGTAACCTTGAAATACATTTTTGGCTCTGTATATCACAAAGCAACATTTTATGATTGTTCATAAAAACATGCATGGGTCTAGAAGCTCTGGTTATTAAATGAATAAATAATGTGGCAAGTGCACAGAAAAATAATAATTTGAATAATAAACATGAGTTGTTTGGGTATTTCAATGATTTATTTATAATGATAACAGTTTAAATTAGATATTGGGATATTCATAATCATTGTACAAACTCTAGTTGACTATTTTAGCTCTGTGGACTTAATATACTATACATTTTCAATGTAAGCCAATTTGTCTAATAAAATTATGAAAAAAACTACCAGTTCAATGAAGCAGCTTTATAAAGACTGTAATTTAAAGACATTAGAGTATTAAGCAATCATTTCATGCTGTTTCCTGCCTGCATGTTGAGCAGTATACACACAAATCTAAAAATTCTGATGCTTTAGAACAGTTCCAAAAAACTTAACATCAAGCAGAACCTTCTTTCATACAAGCAGAATACTCCCCAGGTACAAAAATCAGAACAATACAAATGTCTAATTTGCATCTCTCATAATCAAGCGTGCATTCAAAAGTGCAATTAACCCAAAGTCGAATTCAACCTGAATGGTTATGAGTTTGTTAATATGGAGAAGTTGAGTTTTCTTTTCTTTTTAATTCCTTTTGTTAGTATAAAAATTTAGTTATATTGCTTCACACCTTTTCTAATTCCAATTTACACCTGAGCTCAAGAAATTTAATGTTTGGACTTCTGAAATCAGGCTACATTTTTGTGAGTTTGTGAAGCAATGAGAGGAAATAATTTTGTCTTACAAAGATTGTTTGCATAAACAGAGGACTTTTCCCTGAGTATGGCATATAATAAAAAAGAACTTGTATAATCTCACTGAAAGGTTATAAGGGAATTGAGGGAAAAAATCAGTAAATCAAAGTAAGTCTGTGCTCTCCAAGCCTGAAATGATTTATATCTGCATTGGGCTTAGGACCTTTGGGCATGAGAACAATTTTCCTCTAAGAAAAAAAAAAGGTTCTCTTTGTTGTGATTCCATGATGTTTTCTCTAAAACACTGAGGAAAGGGCATGGGCATGACAACTGAAATAAAACTAGTGGGAATGTAAAACTGAAAACTCAAGGATGCAATTTTGTGTATTAAATTTCCCACACATAATTATGTTCGGCATTATCTAAGGAAGTAAATGAATAGCCACTTATAATTCTTTTCATAATCATTTAAACTCAAGGTCTGGCTTTAGGTGATTAGAAGCCAGATTGGGCAGCAGGGCAATCAGAGAATATGTTTCTGGCCATTGAGAATACTGTTTTCATTTTACATAGAGACAAACCCAGTGAGATACATAGTAATTTTCTTCAGTATATTTCAATTCAACAAATAATCTTCAGCACCATACCTGCCCTGGAAGTACATACCTTTGAATAAGGCAGTGTTTCTTCCCTCAGGATGCTTGCAAACTAGTGGATGATTCCCAGATGTCTGGAAATTAATTGCCACACACTTTTCACTCGGTCTATTGTTCTAATCACTATACCTGGTTAATTTAGCAAGCAAATCTGAGAAGCCACACTAGCAATATCTAACAGTTTCAAGAGACTCAAAACAGATGTATTTCCTAAAAACTCTCTGCATGAATGCATCTTGGGTTGTTGCTTTCCATAATGGTAAGTGATAATTTGAAAGGAATTGCCTTCATATGCAAATGCACAATATACTTGTAAGAACAAATTTTAAAACAGTCCAAGCCCATGACACATTAGCAAAATGGATTGTGGAAGAGCACAACAGGCAAGTAAGTTTGATAAAGTGAAGAGAATTTATTTATTTATGAGGTACATAAAGGTACACATACAAATTTGGATTGTTCCCTTTCAAAATTCTTAAAACATATTAATGAACAATCAATTCTGTAGGGGACCTTGAACTATTAACACAATTTCCAATGCATGATAGGAATTCAAATATTTGTTTAAAGGAAGAATAAATAAATGAATAGGTGGGTATTTGGATGATGGATGATACTATTGCTCAAGACAATCAGATGTTTTCAGAAAGCTAATTTTAAGAGAGTTGAACTGTTCTATTAGTTACTGTCATTACTAACAAAAATGTATTACCTGACTGAGGATTTATTATTTCTGAAGCCTATGTGTAATAAATAAGAATCAATTAAAAAGAAATATCACCACAAGACAATGAACTATCACAAGAAGCTGTCACTAATGATTACCACAACAGGACAGGAATATGAGAGGGGGATCCAGGAAACCACAAAGGAGGGACTTATGGAATAGTAGCTTCCATGTTATCTTTACTTAGAAGAAAATTCTCAGCTCTGTTGTCCCTTTCTTCAGACTCTACTAAGGTCATCAGAATCTCTCACATCAGAACTTTTTGACAGATTGTATGTGCATAGGACATTTCACCCTGAGGGTTTGCATAAATCATCCATTTGGTAGGATTTTCTGTCTTTCGAGAAGCTCCAGTACCACAAAAGAATGCTATTGTCTGAGCAACAGATAAATGACAGTAAATACTTTATGTTCTCTTGAAAATATCTCTCTATATTAAACACTGAACTATGATTAGTAGCTGGAAAAGAAAATGAGATCTCTGCAATTATTTATATATTTAGTATGTTTCAACTCAGATTCCTGAAAGTATTCCATCTATTTTTAAAAGCAGAAGTAATTACATCAGGCAGAGAAAGAGGACTAGATTGGAAATGTTTTTAAAGCTGTAGATATTGGACAAGAGAGAAAAGAGAATATGAGACTATGAGGACATTAGAATATGAGGAAGTTACTTGAGGGCAAGGACCTATTAGCACTCATTGCTGTATCCACAACTCCTAGAACAAGACCTATGATTAATGCTTTTTAAATACTGGTTGACTCACTTGCAATGCCCCTCCTAGCAAAGGAATTCACCAATGCTATTCTGGTTGCAATATTCAGATAGTTAACAACCAGACCTCTCTCCCTGTAGTCCTAAATTGCTTTATTTGTAATTTGAATAAATATGTATTCATTAGATTACCCTGCAGTATATTAAACAAAGCTTACTCTGTAGGGTACAGTAGCTTCTCAACAAATTCTTCAATTGCTATTAAACATAGAATTAGATATATTTCATTCACTGAACACACATTTACTGAGAACTCCAAACAATAGGCCAGGTTAAAACTAACAGTTAAAAAATGTATGAGAAAACACAAACTCTTCCCTTCAGGAGCTTATAATTAGAATTATTTTATTATTTTTTTTAATTTTCGAGGGGAAGATTCCTTACTGAGGTATTCCTAAAAGCTTTTACAAATCATTCTTTTGGTACCTGGAGTGGGAAGAGGCATCCTATTTTATACCGTGGTGCCAGAACAATTATGTAAACTATTATTGTTTGGATGCAACATCGCTAACATTTGTGAACATCTAAAATTAGTCACTCAGAGCCAAGACTGGCAAATTGGGCTTGTTGTCAAGCTAATGTGCAGTCCCAATCCAGTATGAATACAAAATAGCGAAGCACAATTTCTTATGTCTCATAAGCTGTGGGAGTAATATCCAGAGACGAGTCTCTAAATATATTGAGTCATAGCTGCATTGCTGAAATATGTGTAAACTTTGCCAAGGGATTCACTCTGATGGCTTCCTCTTCTTGCATGCACAGATTAGGGTGTAAATACCAGAAAGATTCATATCTTTGCGTCTCATACATGAAAATCTTTTTAGATATTTATTACCAAAGAAACTTAAAATTTACTGTGTGTGCCAAAGACAGAAAGGAGAGATAATTTTAAGTGCCACATTTGTCCTTTGTATTTCATAAAAATACCATTTGAGTAATTTTGTTTTGTGCTTTGGATATATCAGCTCAAATATCATCTCTGGAGGCCTCTCCTTAACAGCTTAATAGAGGTCATCCTTCATTTTTCACCTTTCATTCACTTTGACTCACCTTACTTGGCTCATTTTCTATCATAAGAGTTTATATATAAATACAGTAACTTTAAAATAGTGATATTAGTCTATTTGTTTACTCTCACTGCCCCTCACTAGAATGTAAGCTTCTTGAAGCTGGAACTGTCTTCCAAAAATACTACTTTTTTTCAATTCCCATATCCCAGAATTTGGTATATAAAACATTCATAGTAAATATTTGTTATTGAGTTATAATTAAATAAAGTTTTTCTGTGCAGCAATTTCCTTTTCCCTCACATTCTACATTTATTTGGAATTATTTCATGAATAACTCTAAAATCAAACCAGTGGGTCTCAATTTTGTATAATTTCATTCTGAATAAAGTCATTTTCAAAATTAAACTCTATTCCCATGTAGGGCAGCAGAAATAATATTTCTCAAATGGTGTATTCTCACAAACACCAATACCTGCTAAATATAACACAAAAGTAAAAACACTAGATTCCAATCTCATCTCTGAACAGGAAATGAAAAATAAACTGTTAGCATATTGAATTCCATTATAGAGTAATATATCATGGCCAATTGAGGTTTAATTCAAAACTATAAGAATGATGTGGTTTTGGTAGATTTTATAATATAGTCATCTTAATAGGAATTAAGACATTTTTAAAAATTTAAAGGTCAATAATTAGCATCACGTATGATTGTGAAATGTTAAAATATTATTTTATTATGGTAAAAATAAAGATGCAAGTGTTCATAATAACCACAGTGTTAAACACTATTTTGAAAGGACTACAGAAGAATATAGGAAAGAGAAAGAAATCTAATTGGCATATTTTGGAAAAAAAGTGGGCAAGTTTATAATCATTTTGAAATTATAGAAATGTATTATTAGAAAATCCATGGGTAATAAATTTTTTTAAAATTGAAATATTAAGAGAATGCACTGATGTTGTCAACTATTAAATGAGTGAAATAAATCAATGGTTTCTTTATGCATAAATCACAGCTGGCTAAAAATATAAAAGAAGAAATGAAATCCTCATAATGATAAAGATCTTTCAATAATTAATCATGAACCTCAAGAAATGCATATAGTCTTTATGTAATGAAGAGCATAAAGATTAGATTGGGTACAGAGAGATCTAAAATCTTTACAAGAATACTCAACTTACGAATTCTTACGTTGATATGTACGTTAAATGAATTTGTCATGAATTTTATTAAAAGAAAAACTTTAGAAAAATACATTCAACAGTTTATTTGAGTAAGGAACAACTCATGAATTGGGCAGCACTCAGAACCAGAAGAAGTTCAGAGAGCTTTGTCCCAGCAACATAAGCAGTGAGCTTTAGTAGGCTGAACATGGAAGCAAAGGAAAGGAATTATTTGATTGACTATAGCTAGGCTTTTCCCTTATTTGAATATAGTGTCATGAGGCATTTGCCCTATTTGGCTATGATCTGATGGGAGGTTTCTTTTTGTAGTTATTTGACTGTTCATGATTGACTGAAACTCTTTCTTTGCCTTTTGTTTTGTTTTCAAGTCAGTTACAATAAATGTTTATAAGTTAAATTCATATATGTTTGTGTAAGAGCTCTGGCACAGAAATTTATTTAAAAGGCCAAAATTGTGGAACTAGCTAGGAAGAAAAAAAAGAATGAAGGAACAGAATAAAAAGGCATTACCACATCTTTTAAATATTTTAATAAATTATAAATCTATAGCACATAAAATACATGATAGATCAATTGAAGGAAGATAATGAGGTCCAAAAATTCAACAAATATGTATGCAAACTTAGCACATGAGAAAATGCAATTTCTCACTTAAAAAAAGGGAGAAATAATAAATTACTAAAAATTATGTTGGTATACTGGTAAACCCTCATGGGGAGACAGAGATTCCTATGTCACTCTTTTATTTATCAAAATAAACTATAGAGACAAAAAATATTTAAACAAACAAACTAGAAGTCTTATCTTCTTATTTTCCTGCAAATAAGTTTTTCGATGCAAATCATCAAGCCAATAAATTATAAAAGTAAAAATTGATGTCTGACAACATTAAAATCATTTAAAAATTTTAAAAGCTGCATGTCTTTAAATCCTTTTACATAAGATATAGTTAGGATAAAACACACACAGCAAAGAAACCTTTACTATTTTTAATGTAGAAAGTTTCACTTCAAATACTTAAGTGAAACAACAGAAAAGCAACAGAAAAATAATGGAAGCAATGACATTATTATAAGTGCATTCAAAGGGCATTCCTAAATTACAGCCAGAAAAACATTCTAAATTCAGATTTTAAATCCCCATACTGCAGCCAGCACTAAACACATCCTAGCAATTTTATATAAACTATAAAATAGAAATCTGAAAAGACATTGTAGCACTCAACAAGAGAAAAAACAGAAACCACTTCCACAGAGCAGATTAGAACAGAAAGGCAGAAAAGCAAGAAATGTAATAAGGCAAGCAGAGCTAATTCTGGGGTCTTGCATGGCTCCTGGTTCAGAAGCAAACATTTGTGGCAGGGACTGTTCGTTTTTGTCAAGCAATAGGGAATAAAGTGACCAACACATGGCTGGGTTTGGAGTCAGACTTTATGGCTTGAGACCACAGGCTGGAAAGGCTCATCTCTGACCCTGAACAGATGCTGATGAAAGCTGCAATTTGCTGCAGCTTTGGCTTATGTAATGTAGAAAAAAAGAGGATGGAAAGCACAAGCAGCCTCACAGCCAGGAACTGATCAATCCACATGGGCAGAGTGACAGCCTACGTCACATCCCCATTATCAAAGAGGGGTGAAAATGCCAAGATTCTGACCTCAGAAGCAGGACTGTCATAAAGGGGAGGGGGAAGGAGGAAGACGGTTGCCCTGACAAAACCCCTAGGTGATAATGAGGATAGAAAGAGAGATAGAGAGAGACAGAGAGAGAGAGAAAAATGGATTGAGTCTTAGTCAACATAAGCCTACATAAAATATAAACCATACTAACATAAAGAATCACAAATATTAAGTCAACATATGTAAAGAATCGCAAGCATTAAATACACGAGGAAACGAATCCATCAAAAAATGGAAACTGACAGAAAAACAAAATAATTTAAAATTAATGAAGTCCCAAATCTTCAGAGAGAGAGGTAATTAACATTTAATTAAAAAAAAAGAAACCACAAAAGAACAACACAAAAGAACAAGAATATATGAAGACATGAAAAAGACAAAAACAAAAGGCTATAAATGTTGAATACAGCAATTGAAATAAAAGGCAAAAACAACGTTAATATTGCACAGAGCAGAGGATAGAATTAGTGAAAAGAAAATACAGAGTCCACTATGCAGGACTGAAATTAAACACACATGGAGGAGACATTGAGATGTCACTACAGAATTACATTGTTTTAGAAAAGAAGAGAGGAAATTAAAAGGTGTAATATTTGAAAAGTTCATTTTTTTTCAGAAATGAAGAAAAACATGCATGATTGAATTGAAATGACACTATGAGTCTAAAGAGGATGAATACTATATTGTGTGCATCCAAATGCATGCTAATAAAACTGCAGAATACAAAGATAAGTTAAAATGTAAGGTGCAAGAAAAAATGAAGGTAATATTAGGGAACTTCTGAGAAGAAGGGGGAGCAGAAAAGGAGTAAGAGGAGGAGGAGAAGAGAAAGAAGATGGAGACAAAAGATGAAGAAGGTGAAAAAGGAGGAGGAAGAGGAGGAGAAATAGAATTTAGCACCCATAAGGCCTCCCTTTAAAGCACCAATGACAAAAACCATCAATATTATTTGGTAAATGTAATCAACAATTGTCTGTAAAAATCATTATAGAAAGAAATTTTAAAAAATAGTGTTGTAAATAAAAAAGGAATTCATGGAAGATGACAATTGAATAGTAGTATGTGTTAGAAGATTCTCAATTCTCCTAATAATTAGGAAAACACCCTATTATTAATACAACTACAATGAGATGCAGTGGCATGCATGTTGGGTTGGGGCATTCAGAAACTATCAATTCCATATTTTCTTGTGATTACTTACAATGTCTGAATTGTCAGTAGAAAATCTTTGCATTTGATAAAGTGCTGAGGTGTGCAGTCCTCATATGTTTTCTATCACTTTCTATATGTGTATATAATACTTTGGTGATACACATGTCTTTTCTAAAATAGTCAGCACTTGTTCAATTTCTAGTGGTAATTTACATACACAGTGGTCCCCTCTTATCTGCAATTTTGCTTTCCACAATTTAAGTTACTTGGAGTCAACTGAGGTCTAAAAATAGGTGAGTCCAGTACAATAAGATATTTTGAAAGAGAGCGAGAGGCCACATTCACGTAATTTTGACTACAGTATATTGTTATAATTGTTATATTTTATCATTATTGTTATTGATCTCTTCCCACGTGTAATTTATAAATTAAACTTTAACATCTTATGTATATATATGAAGAAGCACCGTATATATAAGGTTCGAGGTTTCAGACATCCACTACAGCTGTTTAAATCTCCCATGGATAAAGGTGGAAATACTTTCAGTAATATTTTACATAGGTCTATGCAATATCGTTAAATAAAAAATGAAAGTTGCTAAAATATATATAATTGTAACTTTACTTGCACACATAAACATACATTTAAAGGAGAAAGAGAAAGGGGCAGAGAACGAAAGCAAGAAAGAAAGACACAGGGTCAGGCAGTTAGGTAGATAAGACATGCAAAGTGAGATACAGAAGAGGGGAAGGCAGCAGAGTGTCAGATACTGACAGACTGACAGGAAAAGACAGACTGACAGGAAAAAACAGACTGACACAGACACAAATGAAGACCTTTGGACGATGCACTAATTCATGTAGAGTTCTCCCTGGGGAATTCAGTTGTAGTGTTTTTATTTCTGCTTTCTATTTTTTCTGTTCATAACTTTACATTAGATTAGCATCATTTTAGAACAACAATAAAGATTTTAAAAAATATTGCTTCTATTTATGCCAATGCCACTTCTTAAGATATATCCTGAAATCCTTAAACACTTCTTATATCATAACCAGAAAAATAATTTTAGAATCTGAATAAGATGTATAAGAGTAATTAAATATGCACAACTAATGAATTCATTAATGCCAGCATCTCCCTTTAGAATATATAGTGAAATTCCTAAACACTTCCTACTCCTTAATCAATAAAATGATTATCTCTTTTCACTTTATATTTTTTAAAGTCCTCATAAGCAGATTTAAAAGAAAAATAGACACGCACCAATTAAGTGATTTCATTTATTGAAGCTGTGACTGCTAAACTGTGGAAAACCTTTAGTTTAATTAAAATATTAATTAGTTATATATGTAAACTCATTTACATTTGCATTAAAATCAGCCATTTATTTATTCAGCCATTTACCTGTTCACAGTAAATGTGAAGCTTAGGCAGGAATTACCTTACTGATACAAATACATCTATTGACCTTTAATGGTACTTTTCACCAGTCGTAAATACATGTGCCATGAAGAACAAACCTGAATATTCACCTGGAGATGGAAGAAATAACTGAACTTAACGTCAGTTGCAAATTATTATCAACCCCAACAATAATTTCCAGCAATAATTATAAGCATGAGGAAATTGACTCAACAGTCTCACTTCACATTGACCTTTGTGTACCTCACTATTCACTCTGCATAACATGCATTTATTCAAACCTTTGAGCCAAATTCCCTGAAGTTTATTGTTTAAGGACTAAAACACTTCAAACAAACTCCTCATGGCCTAAAGTTTTCTGGCTCACCAATGGTATTAAAGCAGCACTACATCCCAGGGTACCTGCACAGTGACTTGCTCTTCTTTCCACAAAACATAGCTTAGCTACTGCTGAATGTGTTTTAATAGGCAGGAGGAGTAAGTTCCTGTATAATTGCTTCCTGGGTGATGATGAAAGTTCCAAGTGAAGAAAAGACTGTGGCTAAAACAGAAATTGAAGATGAACTACAAAGATGTCCCATTATCAGGGTCATTGGGAGCCCTCTTGTTCAGCAATTAGGAATCAAGGAAGCCAACATTAGGTATGCTGGATGTGATCCCTATGCTAGGAGGCCTCCCACTTTCTATAAATTTCTGAATTATTTATTAAGAAATACTCTTAATGCAATATTAAACACTGTGTGTATTGGGGAGAATAAGTTTCTAGTTTCTCTTCTCACCACTCTCTCTCTTCCTTTGTGTGTGTGTGTGTGTGTGTGTGTGTGTGTGTGTGTGTGTGTGAGATAGGGTCTCACACTGTCACCCAGGATGGAATGCAGTGGTGAGATAGCGACTCACTGCAGCCTCTGCCTCCCGGGCTCAGGTGATTTCTCCCACCTCAGCCTCCTAAAGAGTTGGGACCACAGGCATTCACCACCACACCTCGCTAATTTTTTTTTTTTTTTTTTTTTTTTTTTTGTAGAGACAGGGTTTCGCCACTTTGCCCAGGCTGCTCTCGAACTCCTGGACTCAAGCAATCCACCCACCTAGGCTTCCCAAAGTGCTGGAATTACAGGCATGAGCCAACACGCCCAGCTCTTCTCACCATTCTCAAGCCCTCCTATATGACTAACACAGAATTGAAAAAAGCAGACACTGTCATTTCCAAATTTATGTATGTGGAAATCTGATCTGCTGAGAAATGAAATCTATCCAAGGGCATAGAACTAGTGATACTTTGTAAACATAACTGCAGAAAATCTGTGAGAAATATAGATTTAAAAAATATCTGTATCAGGATTACTATGCACTATAAAGAATCCTCACAGGTTTTTGTTGTAGTTGTTGTTGTTTGTTTGTTTTTTAAACAGCTTTTCTATATTCTTAAGATAAATTTGAGACACAACCTGTTATATACAGGGATGCAGGCACCACTGTATAATTTTAGGTTAAACATCATTCTCTTCCAAAACATATTTAAAAGAAATTAGATAATGCAATTAAAGTGTATACATATTCCATTTTAGTGATGTTATTTATTTTCCAAGAAGTTTACACATTTACTATTCTGTGATTTGGAACCTATTAAAAAGTATATTAAACGTAAATATTCTAGGAATCATTTTGGTGGCAGAAGAATATTTTAGACACAGCTAATTGAGAGCACAAATCATCCCACTTAAAACTGTGTTAAGTCTAACAAAATTGTAAATTAAATTGAGAACGAACCTGTGCTTTTCGGATCATCATTCTTCAAAAGAGATAAAGTTGGATAAGGACTCAATTTTTAAGGGAAGTTTTGGAAGTAACCAAAAGAACAAAATATCAAAACTTTATGGATGGACATTTCCTCATGGCAGAATTCTAATTCAAACCCACTAGAAATTAGACAATGTTGTTTGTTAGGCTAAAGGGTTGTATTTTTAATAATCTGGATATTTAATACCTTTTTATTCTCTCGGGTTCTCTAGAGGCAAGCCCTGACAGATACATGCACTTGATGGGGTGGTGGTCAGTTCTAGAGAGAGGAGCTAGAACCTCACCTTCTGCCTGTACAGCACTAGCACAGCTGGTTGATAAACAGGACCCCGGTGACTCTCAAATGTAAACCCTATCCCCTACTTCTCCCCTAAGTTCCAGGTTCATATATCTAATTGCCTGGTTTCTTGTTTCTTATCTACTAGAAATCTCAATATGGCCAAAGAGAAGGGTTCATCCTTTTCCAAATTCCAGCCCTCTCCCAACATTCTCTGTTTCAAAAAATGACATCATTACTCACCCAGTTGCTCAGGACCCAAACTGACAATATATGATTGTTTCCTCTGTTTTATTCACATCTCATATCCAAAACATCAGTAAACCCACTTGAAAATTTTATGTCAGATTTGACCAGTTCTCACCATTGCCTCTGTAATTGCTGGAGTCTTTGGTTACTTTCTCTCTATTCTTGCCTCATTTACAAAATAACTAGAAAGATCAGATAACTCCTTGCAACCCCAAAGTGAGCCCAAAATGCATACTCATTGCAAAATAATTACAAAATACAGTACTCCAAATTCTTACCAAGGTGTAGCAAAGATTTACTTGATGCTGATCAATCCCTTACCCTCTTTAGAAACATCTTGCTATTATTGTAATTTTACTTCTCCATTTACACTTCAGAGTCAAGTAACATCATAAAGCCATATTGTATTTTAATTGAAATGTCACTGAATTTGTGGGATTAATTCTGTAAAATAGAGACCTTTATGCTATAAACTTCCTGTCCATGTACATAGTATTATTTTCTCAATTATTCAGGTCTTTTGAAACATCTCCTAATACAATGTTATACATTCATCTATAGAGGTATTATACCTTTTTGCTATATTTATTTTCCATTTGATACCCCCTGGTACTGTCATAAATTCTGTCTTATAGTTGTATTTTGTAATCATTTCTGGCTCTTTGATAGAAATTCAACCACTTTCAGTATGTTAATATGATGCCCACCTACCCTATCCACGTTTCCTATTACTTTTTACAATTACTCTGAATATCTCTTGTAGTCCCTACATAAATAATCATATCTTCTGTAAATAATTATAGTGAAATGGCTGTTGTTGTCTGGGGTAGATATCGTGGTTCTTGGTCTCAGTTGAGAAAGAATTCAGGACACGGACATACATGAAGAGTGGGTTTAGGAGCAGAAAGTTTAAAAAAAGAAAGAAGAATATATACAGAAAAAGCTTCCTCATGCTGAGACAGTGGGTTGCCCAAAAGAGGGTCTCCGGTTTGCAGCAGAATGCAATCGGTTTTGTACAGAGGCTTGAGGAGGAGGTAATTGATTTACATAGGGCCCAGGAGATTGGTTTGACCAGGTGCGCCATTTACATAGCCCGTGAAAAGACTGGCTCTCGAACCCTTGTCTTTTATTATGCAAATATGGCTTCAACCTGGCTGGTTGCCATGATGCCAGTACATGTGGTTTTACCTGGAGGGTGTCATGACACCTGTACACGTGGTGACAAGGAAAAGAAGGCGGGAGATGCCACATTGATGGTACCTGGCTTCCAGGTACAGCTACTGCCATTCACATATAAAAGCTTCTAGTCTGCATATCTATACCTGACACTTCAGGCTGCTTTTTGTTAGAGAAGAAATGGTTTGGGGGCTGCTTTTTATTAAAGGAAATTTCCACAGAGTACTTTCACCCTTTCTGGCTGCCTAAAAATAATTTCTTAATAACCCCTGTACTAAAAGTTTCATGTTTTTTTTCCCAACCTCAAACATCTAGTTTTTTTTACTTTAACTACTGATAAATGGTAAATACAAGTATTATACTGGCACCCTGACTCATTTCCAATTTTATAGGCAATATTCCTAATACTTTTTTGTTTGAGATTACACTTAATCTTCATATTTCTTTTTTTATTTCTTTATCAGATTAAGGAAGCTCAATTCTTCCTTTACCAAGCGGTTTGCTTTGTCTGCCACTCCTCCCCTACTAATAATAAATTAATTTTATCAGGCACTTTTTCTCTATATCATTTGAAAATAAATTATTGTTATTTTTTCTAATATGTTAATATTGTGAATATATGAATTATTCAAATATTAATTATTCATGCTCCAAGATCAGTTTGTTTATCCATTCAATGAAATGTACTAAAATTTTGTGACCTAGAACATTATAGTGCTTTTAAAACATGCTTATAAATTCTTTGACACTTCACTTGTAAGTGTACCTTGGCAGGCCTTTGTGACTACCTTGGAGAATAGAACATAAAGGGCATAGTCTTTGTGACTTTCAAGATTACGTCATAATCATCAATACAACTTCTGACTGCCTCTGTTTGTCTCTGTGGACACAAACCTTTGGAACTTGAGCTATCAGGAAAGGAGTCCAGCTATTCTGAGCCTCCATGATAGAAATACAACATGGCAAGATTACATGGAGATAGAGATGCTTATAGAGTCATTATTGTTCCGGCTTACAGTTGTTGAATTTTCCCAATGCAAGTGCCACAAATGCTAAAGAGTAAGCCTTTATATGGTTCCAGCCCTAGGTACCAACTATAGCATCATGAGAGATAATAATAATAAAAGTATTGTTCTTTTAACCTTTGAAGTTGAGTGATTTAATATCCAGTGATAGATAATTGGGGGGAAAGTTACCATTTTTTTTTTGGTTAATATTTCAAGGAAACATGAGAACTTGAGAAATTGAAAGCACTACTATGTTCATATTATTAAACTTATTGATTGCATTGTTCAGAATATTTGTTACATTATGATATTTACATATTGTACATTTGTCTGAAGTTCATTTTATATGATATTAATAAAGTTACAAGTATTCTTTGCTATGATTTCCCTGTTTTTCTTATTTATTTATTTAATATATATTGTATATCAATATTTTTTCCTAATATCTTTCTCTTTTAACTTCTGAGTTTAGTCCATTTATACTCATTGTACATTCCTTAGTCCATTTATATTCAATTATTAATAATTTGAAACAAACTTATTACTTCAATATGTAAAATTTTTTCTTACTTAATTTTATCACATGTAAATGGATATTCACACTCTCTACTAATAAGAAAATAATTTTATAACAATGTAAGATTTCATGTTATACTCACATTCTCAACTCTCATTGTGATGACATCTTTGAGACCAGAAATTAGGAAACCAATAGCCTGTGTCAACCCTGGACTGCTGTAAGTTTTTGTAAAGGCTTATCAAAATAGCTATGATAATTTATTTAAAAATTGTCTATGATTACTTTCTTGTTACTGTGGCAGAGGTTGAGTAGTTTCAACAAAGACACTATAGTTGTTTTTAAAAACTGTTTATTTTAATAGATGAATAAAAGTTGTATATAGTCTATATGCTTGTTAAAACTTAAATATTTATCATCTGACTCTTCCTACAAAAAAAATTACTAATTTATTTTCTAGTCTATTTATTAAAGATACAGTTTCCCCCATGTGTGTTGGTTTATAAACTTTATTCAGTTATTTGAGCATCTTCAGTTCATATATCTCTGGCAGCATTTTTTAAATTTCTGTGTTATCTTAATTTAGTATTTTATAAAATATTTTTGACAGTTGCAATCTGATATTTGAATTTGGGTCTCTCTGCCCTAATCTCATGTCAAATTGTAATCCCCAGTATTGGGAGAGGGGCTTGGTGGGAGGTGATTGATCACAGGTGTGGATATCCCCTTTGGTGCTGTTTTCCTGATAGTGAGTTATGAGGTCGGGTTTGTAAAAGTGTGTAGCACCTCCCCCCAACTCTTTTTTCCTTTTTCTCTAGCCATGTAAGATGTGTCGCTTCCCCTTGGCCTTCCATCATGATTGAAAGTTCCCTGAGGCCTCCTCAGCTATACTTCCTATAACAGCCTGCAGAACTATCAGCCAATTAAAACTTTTTTTCTTTATAAATTACCCAGTCTTAGGTATTTCTTTATAGCAGTGCAAGAATGAACTAATACACAGTCTTCATGTGACAAGACTTCTGAGGCTTTATCTGGCTGTAAATATTTTTAACATGACTTCAATTGCAAGACCATGTGGCTTAACACATTCCTTCTTTTCCTTTAATTTGTTGAAAATAATTATCTGTTGATTTATTGTGTTCAATATTGTTATAAATTATTTTAGCCTTAATCTTACTGTTTTGCATGTGATATTTTTCTCTATAAAAAATTTTAACATGTGCATAATTTTTTTTAATATTCTTGAATTTCACGCTGAAGTATGTCTACGTGTGGGCATTTTCCTTATCACTTCCTTGGTTTTTGACAAGACATTTCAATCGGAGTTGCCTTTTATTTCTTAAGTATTAGTACTCTAAAAATGTAATTCAATTATTTATTTAAATGTTTCTTTTTCTTCATTTTAATTTTCCTCCATGCTTTTTTTTCTGTGAATCACATTCTTTGGATGAGAAAGTTTATATTTCTGTTTCTGTAGCTCTAAGTTTTCTTTTAATATATTCTTCACATTTTCTTTTGGAGAGATTTTGCGGAAGATATTCTCTCAAATTAATACATTTTGGCTGGGCTCAGTGGCTTATGCCTGTCATCCCAGCACTTTAGGAGGCTGAGACAGGTGTATCACTTGAGGTCAGGAGTTTAAGGTCAGCCTAGCCAATATGGTGAAACCCTGTCTCTACTAAAAATACAAAAAAAAAAAAAAAAAAATAGCCATGCCTGGTGGCACATGCCTATAATTTCAGCTACTTGGGAGGCTGAGATAGGAGAATCACTTGAACCCTGTAGGCAGAGGTCGCAGTGAGCTGAGATCTCACCACTGTACTCCAGCTTGGGTGACAGAGCTAGACTCCATCTCAAAAAAAGAAAAATTAACACATATTTTGGCCTCGCCTTTTTCTGAGACATTTCTCAGAAGATATTCCCTCAATTCAACATATGTTTTTAATATTTTGATCTATGATATTACATTTTTACATGTAAGATTTATCTTTTAATGTTTTTCTGTCCTTGCCTCATATTACTAACATCTAAAATTTTTAATTTAACATAGTTGAATATTTTTATCCATACGCTCTACTATTTTTATATTGACGAAATATTTAATTCAGAATGTTTATTTGCTTTTAAAATGGTTATTGTTCTAAATGTCTTGTTTTTGAGTATGCATTCATTTTCCTTAAGGAGTTTCATCTGTTTCGCGAGGTAATATTTATAAGGAAAACCAAAAAATACTGGATCAAGAAAGTCCCAAGTACTTAATGGGTTTGTAAGAGATGCCCTTTATGATAAAGAGCTTTAAGCACTAAGAAACTGCCATTATAAATTACCCCTCAAAGAACTACTCCCCTTCACTTCCCATCCCCCACTCCACCCATGAGGTAGCTGGGAGAGGAAACACTGTGTTGGACCTTGCCCTGTAATGTCCCGTACTGAAGAATTGGGAGCGTGGTTCTGAAAAGTAACAGGGCAAGGCTAATTAGTTCCTGCGTGTTTTCCTGGCTCCTCACGTTAATGGAGCTCAGCTGCTCTGACTTCATTATTTCTGAGCCCTCATCACCATCCCTTTAATATCCATATTTCTATCAATAGTTTATTGAAGTCAGCCTAGGCTTTTTATGTGTGATATGCCAAAACTCTTTCAACCTCTGTCAATTATCCTGCCCTAAAGTCACTTCTGCACATTTATGTATTTGTTGCAGCAGCACTGTACTTTTTGGTACCAACATGTGTATTAGTTTGCTAGGGCTGCCATGCCACAAGAACGCGAACTGTATAGATTGAACAAGTATCTCACAGGTCTGGGGGCTAAAATGTCTGAAATGTAGGTTTGAGCAGGGCTGGCTCCTTCAGAGGGCTGCAAAGGAAGGATCTGTTCCAGGCCTCTATCCTTAACTGGTAGATGGCCACCTTCAGGCTCACACGGTCATCTTTTTGTACCTATATTTGTGTCTCTGTTTTCAAATGTCTCATTTTTATAAGGATAACAGTCATGTTGGATTAGAGTACATCCTAATGACCTCATTTAAATGTTGTTACTTCTGTAAACTTCCTATTTCCAAATAAAGTAACTTTCTAAAGTACTAGAGGTTAGGATTTCATGAAATAAGTATTGAAAAGGCACAATTCAACCCATAACATACTACAATATGTAGGATAGAAAAAATGTGAATGGCTCTGTAAGTATCTACCTTTGACCCATCTGGTCTCGATTGTTAAGTTTGATGTTCTCAAGACTAATACATGTTACAAAGGTAGAAATACTATCTAGAGATAACTCCATTCAAATTTATCTTAAATCATGGAAAATATTTGTTTCAGGCACTATGCATAATAGTGTAGTTTTATCTATTTGATATTAGAAGTACCACTTGTATTCTGATTCAACACTCCCCTTAGCCTATATGTCCATGGTTGGGCAACAGCATCATATTCATCTTACAGCTCCTTAATGACTTTGGGTAAGGACATCTTCACACACTTTAGTCTGTGGAACTCAGGCTTTATCACATGCTGTTTAGTATATACACCTTTGGAATTATGAAATATACCTGAGCCTTCTAAATTACTCCCTACCTCTAATAATGATGAGGGCTGGATTATTTCATCTACAAGCCCATGACCATAATTTTTTTTACCATTGGATCACCCCATAAGAACATCAATAACTTTAATTCTTAGTTAATTTCTCATTTTTATTTCTAAAAAAAACCCTTTTCCTTCACTTTATTTCCTTTCTAATTCCATTTCAGAATTTCAGTTAGGTATAAAGTGTGCATAACTGCTGGAGTTGACTCCATCAAATACTGAAACCGGTGGTCTCACGAATACCAGAACAAAAAGCAAGCATATGTGAAATCAGAGCCTCACCTAGAAATTCAGTGTGTGACTGCCTTGGCTATGCATCATCAAAGTGTAGATTGGAAACATCTTTAAAAGCATTGAAGTAAAACAGAATGCAATGATATTAGCTAATTTTGTCACCATCAAAAGGCACTTGAGATGTGACTCTGCCACTCTTGTCAGGGAATAGATGAAATGTCGATCATACTATCCAAATCAGTGCCACTTATGGTACTACAGAAGAAAATGTTATCTCTGGGGGTGAATAGAATTTTCTTGAAATGAAAAGAAAACTGCTAAGGTTAGAATATTGACAAGAGAAATTCTGATTTCCATTAATGTTTCTTTTTCCCTGACTCTTAAAACATAACAAATTTTTTATTAAATTTTCTCAACTTCTGTATAAATCCAACCTAAAGCCAATATGTTCATAGTACTGTATTAAGACTTGGGATGTAACAATTAATGTAACTGTTTGCATTAAAATAAAAAAGTCAGATATACAAAAATTCTATGTTATTGTTTAAACAAAATAAATTTTCCTTTAAGTGAGAGTATTAAATTGGAGTACTACTGTTGTCAAGGATTGCAGAATAGTAATCTCCCTGGTATTTGAATAAGCATTTTAACTTCAGATAGTTGATTGGAAATTATAATTGAATTTGAACTGTAGTATTAGCTAATGACAAAGTTTATGATGCAGATATACTGTCATCCATTAAAAATATTTTGCATTGTAAAAGATCGAAAACATAAAGGCTTACTTGACAAATGTTCATTCAGAAGCATATGTTTTCAATAATGTGAACTTTTTACAGCAAAGTGTATGCTAATCATGTTTTTTTATAGAATTTAAAATAGTTTAACAGCATTTTGAGACAAATGACTTACAAAAATCTGTTGCTACCATGTTTAAATCATCTCATTAAAAAAAACAGGTCAAAATATACTGAATAGCCTTTTTCTTCTGGTGAAATATGGCAACTTAAGATAGCTTTCTCAATATTTTTATGTGTAAAATAGGAAAAAATAATGATATATATTTGAGGGGCTAGGGATAAAGAGTAAATTAATTAATATGTATGAGACAGTTATCTAGAATATAGTATGCACCTAATAAAAAATAATGTGTTTTGTCATTTATTTTCTAAAAATTAAAATGCCATCTTCTAAAATTAATTTATTCAAATTTCCAGACAAGATTTCTTTTTAATAAATCATGCTGCAATACTCAACCACATAGGACACTGTGTGTGTATGTGTGTGTGTGTGTGTGTGTGTGTGTATGTATGTATGTTGTGGTGTGTATATACTGTGTGGGAGTGGGTGTGATATGATGTATGTATGTGTATGTTTTAAATGTTAGTAGAAAGAAGTTGATTCATTAAAGTAAATCACTGTCCAGGTTTGATACAAACTTATAGGTTGGATTTAGAATAAGACCTTTGTAAACAATATTTACTATGTTGAGTCCACAAGAAATCATGAGAACCAAAGGCAGATTTTAAAAGGTAGAGTCAAAAAGCAAACAGTAAATAGAGAATGGGTCAGCATCAGAGATGCAAAGAAACAGAAAGGCGTCAAAAAGCTAAGGCAAGGACAATAATATAAAGTAAAAATTAGTCTAAAACCTATCTTGGGTTGAGTTCCTCAAAAAACAAATGCTGTGGCCGGGAGCAGTGGCTCAAGCCTGTAATCCCAGCACTTTGGGAGGCCGAGGTGGGCGGATCACAAGGTCAGGAGATCGAGACTGTCCTGGCTAACATGGTGAAATCCCATCTTTACCAAAAATACACACAAAAAATTAGCTGGGCGTAGTGGAGGGCACCTGTAGTCCCAGCTACTTGGAGGCTGAGGCCGGGGAATGGCATGAACCCGGGCAGGGGAGCTTGCAGTGAGCCAAGAGGGGAGTGAAGGAAGCTGGATTGGCAAGAGGGAGAATTGATCTGTGATACAGTTGCAACAAGGGTTGCAGCCTTTCCCACTACTGGCATGACCCTTCCGAGTGGGACCACATGAAGACAAGCAAAGACAGCCTTTATACTTCCTTACAATTGACCAGTCATTGGGTACAGGCTGCCCATCAAAAGGGGCCATGGCCTTGGATAAGGCAATTGTCTTCAGCTGAGCTCAATTTTAGGAGTGGCACCAATACAGAAGATGGGGGAATGAGCACCTCAGATTTGAAATGGGGATGGGTGGGCATGCAACAACATCCACTGCACCATGAAGACAAATTTTGAAGCATAATTTTGTTAGCCTCTGGTTTTGAGGAGAGAAGGGAATTGCAACGAGAAGTCAGGAAAAGAGTTGGAAGATCAGATAAAATTATACTCAATATATATTTTTCAGTTTTCTTCATAAAAGTAAAATTTGACCAAATAATGTGGAAATGGCCGGGATTCAGAAACTCCCTTTTTTGATTATAGAATCATACAATATTATCAGTATTATGAGTGGAATTTGTCAATGAAGACGTATTAATTAAACTGCTTTGAATTATATTTCTTGTGTGCACAGCTGTTTCCAATTACACGATTATAGCTTACAATGCCAACAATAGAAATCATGTTTTTTTAGCACCCATGGGAGAATACAGCATACTATAGAACTATAAAAATAAGACCTAATACGGCAAGAGGATGGGAAGCACAATGAGGACTACAGACCAATCATTGAGGGAATTCATGCAGAACTATGCCCTCTGGCATGATGCTTATTGTAAATGGTATGACTTGTCTCAGAGCTCTCTTTTTGTCAAGCAGATCTTTAAATTAACGATGGGTCAACTTTAGAAGCATTCAATTACAGAGTAGTCAACATAGATATGTCTTTCCTTATAATATTGGCCCACAGCTTTCAAATAAGGTGTCCCAAGATCACTAATTATGTCACATATAAAGTTCAGTGGAGCACCATCACTCTTGCTTTCAATCATTCTTCCTTGGTCTTATAGACTTAGAGCCAAGGAGAATAACTTGCAGCCCATAAACCAGAAGAGCTCAAGATTTAGCCCTCAGGCCTTGCACTCAGACACATTTGAGTTTAAATCCAAGGTTTTTTTGTTTTTGTTTTAACATAGTCACTATGATTTTTAACAGTTAGATAAGGAAATAAAATAATATGCATCAAAAATTCATTAGTAGAGATATTGCTTCAGCCTATTAATTGGTAAGCTACCATTTATTGGAAACTTCCTATGTGACGGAACTGTTCTATTTATATATTTATTAACTAATGCAATACTCAAGTCACATTCATGCAGCCAGTACTATTATTATGCCCATTTTATAGATGAATAATTAAGGCTTAAAGAGATTATGTAAATTACACAAAGTGACTCTGCTACTATGTGGCAGGGCCAGGATTATCAATTAGTAATACTTAATAATAACTGATGGTAATGACAAACAAATGTTAGATGCTGTGTTCATTCATCTATAGTACTGCTAATTCTACTTCTGCTACCATCACTGCCATTACCAGTAGTACATAGTGTTAAGGTACTAAGAGAAAGTACAATCTGGCTATAGAATTATTTTATTATGTCTACTTCTGGTTGAAATGTTGGTTCCTTATGGTGACATTTAGCTAAAAATTGTCTACTTTGTGATTTTTTCAGGTTTAAGTTATTTGCATATTTGCCATACAATTTTGCAACTTAAAATCTCCAATATATTACTTATAGAAAGTATTACTCTATCCACTGTAGATGTGAAAAAGACTGAAGCACAATGGCAGGAAAATAAATAGGCAGCATCTGAAATTTGAGGTGTAGAAGGACTGAAATTAAAGCTCTGAGCTCTGAGCTGAGATTTTGTCCACTGAGTTTATTATGAAGGACAAGAGAATTAACAATCTTAAGTCTCTCTCTTTCTCTCTGTCTCTCTTTCTCTGAATCAGATGGGCAGATTTCCACCCCATTTGGACAGTGTATTTGTGATGGTATGACTAAAATATAGGCTATGTGGAGTAAACATTTCACCTTTAGAGCCTTGTGTGCTCCCCTTTTGATAAGTTGTCATGCACAAGAATAGCTAAATCTCAGGAAAAAGAGGGATCACATGATTGACAATGTACAGTCATCAAAGAAAGCACAGAGCCATATAAAATATGGGATCCAGTTTGAACCACAAGACCAGCCACTTCTAAAAACATACTCTGACTTGCCATTCAGCTGCTTCTCACACAGCCAACTCTAGGTAATGGGTTCCAGGGTGAACAGCTATCGGAAATCAATACTCAACAATGGTTAACAATTCTCTCCATCAACAAATAGAAAATAAATTACAATGGGCATTTCATCAAACCAATTTTCTCCAGTTCAGTTCAAAACATAATTTGCTGATCCAGAGTAACTTAGTTTGGCTAAGTCAATTTTTAGGATAAAGGGAAGTAAAGGAAAAAGGAGAAGGCATTTTTGAAGGTAAACTCAATGTGTTGGGAAGAGAAGAGCTCTGGATCTGGAAGCCAGACTTGCTATTTTGAATGATGCTGCTGGAACTCAATTCCTCATGCTACTTTGGTCAAATCGCTTCAATTATTTAGCATGTCTTCTTTTTGTGTAAATTAAAGAGCTTGAATGTAGCAGCCAATGCATGGATCTCTTCACAAGTGAATACCAAAGACGTTTTCAAATTGTATACTTGCGTTGCACCCAATACCCTGTGAAGAAATGATCTAGTCATCTGTAGAGTTTTCTGAACCTGACTTATTCACCCACCAACTTCATGATTTTTGTACATTGATGTAAACTATCTTTTACTTATTTTTTTCTTTATATGGGTTCATAAGTGTATTTATATTTCATTAAAATCAAATTAAGTCAGCATTATAATTAGTATGCAAGGTCAAAATTGACTTAAGCAGAAACATAACTATAAAACCATAAATTCCACAAAAGCAAAACATTATTGTTAAACTCAAGTTAGATTACTTGTTTAGAGATGTGAGCCTAAAATTTATTCTTCCTTCGTATTATATAAAATAAGGGAATATCAAAATGGTTAAAAAGTTACTATTACAAGCATATTAAGATTTTTTGTGGGCTAGTTAGTGGCAAATTAAAAGGAAAAAAAGACAAAAGTTTCACTGATACAATTTTGTTTAAAACAATGTCTGTTTAGATACCACCAAAAACAGTCTCAAGTCCTAGTGATACGTGTACTAAATGTGAAAAAATCTGCATTTCATTATCCAGGAGATGTCTGTCAAATGTTCTATCAGGAAAAAGAGTAAACTCACTTGAATCACAACTAAGCTATGCCTTCAAGGAACTTACGAACTATGAAGTAGAGAAGAAGAAACACATCAGTAACTACAGAGCCAGAATGAAACTATTAAGTACCCTTGGAGCAAAAGGGCGAAATCCTCATCCAACCAGATGGGGCTGTCTTGTCTTTTCTTTCTTTTTTTTTTTTTTGTGAACACTATAGTGGGTCATAGGACCTCTCAAGTAGCTATTATTGCTTTCTGGAAGTACACTACAATAATTTATTTTCAGAACAAGAAAAGTTCACTTTTTCCAAATTAATTTTCAGTGTCTTCAGTTCTGAGAATGTCTTCTCATCGTCACCATTCCAATGCCTTCTACCTTGTATAAATTATTACTACCTGGTATTTTCTTACCTCCTTATTCAGAAATGTTCTTATTTTTTTCACTATCAGGCTGTTCATTCCAAAGAGAATCACCCTGTCTGATTTGTTCTCACTGGGTCAATCATGTGCTGGAGCTGGCTTGTATGAGCTCATGAGAGCGAACTGTTAAACTTTTGGGAATTTTGTGTGCTGGCTGACATCACACCAGTAGATTAAAATCAGTCATTTTAGGTGGTATTAAGCTACAAGCATCAACAAAAGCTACAAATATGTTTTTCCTGGAGAACTGTTTGTTAAACACTTACCAGCACACCACTTGCTGTGTCTCAGTGTCTAGAAACGTGATTGCAACGTGGAAAGGCCCAAACAATGTTGATTGGATAAGTGAATGCATGTGTGAATAGTTTTCATCTGGAATTGTAGTAAGCTGACTACCCTTAGAAAGCCTCATGGACGTTTCCTAAGGAGAGGCAAACAGGCTGATCAGTCGATTTATCTATCATCTAGATATCTATATCTATCTAACATACAAAAGTATTAACCAGTGTTAGTCAATTTTTCTAAGGGCTTGAATAGACAATATCATTCAGCAATATTGCGACAATGTTTCATATTGACATAGACAATGTCATTCAGCAATATCGCAACAATATTTCATATTGATGGTCTGACTGTTCAATACACTTGCATGTTAAAGAAAATCTTTTGACACATTCACCAGCCCTAGTGGGTTCGGGTGTGTGTGTGTGTGTGTGTGTGTGTGTGTGTTTAACTTACTTCTTGTCTATAAACAGTACGCCATCAATTGCTTTAGGATTTGAAAATGTTCACTAATTGGGAAACAGACTTAATCACTGCATATTGAGGGGAGCCATATTCAGAAGAGAGTTTGTCACTTAACAAGTACAAGCTAAAGATAAATATCATATATGTATTGCAGCTTATAAATAGATATCTAGCATAATGTTCAAACACAGCAATATTTGAATCATTGAGTATGAGTTAAAAATCAATTATGTGGCTTGGGACAAATTACTTAAACCCTACATTTCAGATTTCTCATCTATAAATTTGGAAAATATTACACACCTTACTGCCAATTTTAATAATTAAATAATTATGAAGTGTTTGGCCAAGTACTTATAATATATTAACATATTAGTCAATTTCTCCAAAGAAGCAGAATGAATAGGATGTATATGTATAAAGAGAAAGAGATTTATTATAAGATATTGGCTAACATAATGTAGATGCTGTAAAGTCCCAAGATAGGCAGTCAGTAAGCTGGAGGGCCAGGAAATCTGATGGTATAGTTCAGTCTGAGTTCAAAAGGCTGAGAACCAGGAAAAACATTGGCATGGTTCCAGTCCAAAGATGGGCAGATTCAACACCCAGAAAGAGACAATGGTTCAGTTTGAGTCTGAAGGCAGGAAAACAAATAAACAACAACAACAAAACAGCAAAAAAACCCCACAGATGTCCCAGCTGAAAGGTAGTCAGGCAGAGGAGTTCCTTCTTACTAGTGATGAAGGTCGGTCTTTTTGTTATATTGAAGTTTTTGACTAATTGGATGAGGTCCACTGCGTTAGAGGGGTTAATCTTCTTTACTTAGTCTACTGACTCAAATGTTCTTCTTATCCAGAGTTACTCTCACAGACACATTCAATGTCTAACCAAATATATGAGCACCTCATGGCCCAGTCAACTGACACATAAAACTAACCATCACAGTTCAGTTTCCAATATATGTTATTACACAAACTATTAGTGTTTATTATTATTAACATTATTAATATAAGGTACAAAACAATATGCTGGGCATTTTCACATATGATATCTCTTGCTGATTTTATTCTTTCACATATAGTATCTCTATTAAGTTTCAAAAAGTGCTGCAATAGAATCTTATCACACTACCATCAGCACTAACTTAAAAAATAAATAAAATAAAAATTCTTTAGAAATCTGTGTTAGTCTGCTCTTGCACTACTATGAACAATTATCAAGACTTGGTAATTTATGTAGAAATGAGGTTTAATTTACTCACAATTCTGCATGGCTGGGAAGACCTCTGGAACTTACAATCATGGCAGAAGTTGAAGGGAAAGAAAGGCAAATTCTTCACAGGGCAACAGGAAGAAGAAGTGCCAAAGCAAAGGGGGAAAAGCCCCTTATAAAACCATCAGATTTCATGGGAACTCACTGTCACAAGAACAGCATGGGGGTAATCGCCCCCATGATTCAATTAGCTCCCACCTCTTCCCTCCCGTGACACATGGGGATTAAGGGAACTGCAATTCAAGATGAGATTTGGGTAGGGACACAGCCAAACCATATCATTCCACCCTGGTCCCTCCCAAATCTCATGTCCTCACATTTGAAAACACAATCATGCCTTTCCAACAGTTCCCCAAAGTCTTAGCTCATTCCAGCATTAATCCAAATGTCCAAGTCCAACATTTCTAATGAGACAAGACTAGTCACTTCTGCCTATGAGCCTGTAAAATCAAAAGCAAGTTAGTTACTTCCTAGGTACAATGGGGTTACAGGCATTGGGTAAATACACCCATTCCAAATGGGAAAAACTGGCCAAAACAAATGGGCTACAGGCTCCATGCAAGTCTGAAATCCAATGGGGCAGTCACTAAACCCTAAAGTTCCAAAATCATCTCCTTTGACTCCATGTCTCACACCCAGGTCATGCTGATGCAAGAGGAGGGCTCCCATGGCCTTGGGCAGCTCTGCACCTGTGGGTTTGCAGGGGGAGCCACCCTCCCAGCTGTTTTCATGGGCTGGTGTTTAGTGTTTGTGTTGAACATCTCCATCCTCTACAAAGTCCATGGGTTAAGATTTATTTTTCAAATAGTTACAGTATGTGTGGCTTTTCCACACCCACAGTGCAAGCTGAGGATGGATCTACCATTCTGGGGTCTGGAGGATGGTGACTCACTTCCCATAGATCCACTAGGCAGTGCCCCAGTGGGGACTCTGTGTGGGAGCTCTGACCCCACATTTTCCTTCCTCACTGACCTAGCAGAGGGTCACCATGAGGGCTCCGCACCCTGTAGCAGACTTCTGCCTAGACATCCAGGCATTTGCATACATCCTTTGAAATCTAGGTGGAGGTTCCTAAACCTCAATTCTTGACTTATGTGCACCCACAGGCTCAACACCACATGGAAACTGCCAAGGCTTGGGGCTTGAACCCTCTAAAGCAATGGCCCAAGCTATATATTGGCCCCTTTTAGCTATGGCTGGAGCTGAAGCACCTGGGACTCAGGGCACCATGTCTTGAGGCTGCACAGAGCATGGGAGACCTGGGCCTTCCCCATGAAACCATTTTTCCCTTCTAGGCCTCTGGCCTGTGATGAGAGGGGCTGCTGAGAATGTCTCTGACATGTCCTGGAGACATTGTCTCCATTGTCTTGGAGACTAACATTTGACTTCTCATTACTTATGCAAATTTCTGCAGTGGGCTTGAATTTCTTCCCAGAAAATGGGTTTTTCTTTTCTATTGTATTGTTAGGCTGCCAATTTTCCAAACTTTTATGCTCTGATTCCTCTTGAATGCTTTGTCACTTACAAATTTCTTCCATCAGATACCCTAAATCATCTCTCTCAAGTTCAAAGTCCCACAAATCTCTAGGACAGGGGCAAAATGCCACTAGTCTCTTTGCTAAAGAATAGTAAGAGTCACCTTTGCTCCAGTTCTGAACAAGTTTTTCATCTCCATCTGAGACCACCTCAGCCTGGACTTCATTGTCCATATCACTATGAGTATTTTGGTCAAGCCATTCAACAAGTCTCTAGGATGTTCCAAACATTCCCATATTTTCCTATCTTCTTCTGAACCCTCCAAACTATTATAATCCCTTCCTGTTACCCAGTTCCAAAATTGTTTGCCCATTTTCGGGTATCCTCATAGCAGTGCCCCACTCCCTTGGTAACAATTTACTGTATTAGTCCAATCTAATGCTGCTAATAAAGACATAATTGAGACTGGATAATTTATAAAGAAAACAGGTATAATTAACTCGCAGTTCTGCATGGCTAGGAAGGCCTCAGGAAACTTACAATTATGGCAGAAGGTGAAGGGGAAGAAAGGCACCTTCTTCACAGGGCAGCAGGAAGAAGTGCCAAGCAAAATGGGAAAAGCCCTTTATAAAACCATCAGATTTCCTGAGAACTCACTCACTATCACCAGAACAGCATGGGGGGGGTAATTGCCCCCATGATTCAATAACCTCACACTCAGTCCCTTCCATGACACATAGGGATTATGGGAACTACAATTCAAGGTGAGATTTTGGTGGGGACACAGCCCAACCATATCAAACCCCTATTACTTAATTCTATATTCTTCCACTGTGTGGCACACAGTAGGGCCTTAAGGAGTTCTTTGTTGAATATGCTTTGGGAAAATCTAGGGCAGAACTCAGTGGCTTTATTTTGGGAAAGAAAATGGCATATCTATCATCAGAAAAAACATGCTCTTATTTTAGCAAATGCTATTTGAATTATTTTTTACCTCTATCCTCCACAAAGTCTATGGGTTGAGATTTGGTTTTCAAATAGTTAGAGGTCATTATATAAAAATGACCTCTGAATACAAGAATAGCACATAGCTAAAAAGTTCATAGTTTGGACAGTCAGCGTTAACATAGACTGGAGAGGTAATCTGGCAATCTCTTTCCTTTCCCCTAGGTAACTTGATGAATAACCATTTCCTTTATTCTGTGTTCAGAAGTTTCATGGGCCTTGGAGAGTGCAAGATCAGAGTTATTTATTCCTAAGACAAAAGAAGTATTATTCAGCCACACTTAAATAAACGAAGTAAAATACCTGAACAAAGCATTTTCAAATACTAAAAATTCCACTTTTCAGAGAAATTTTGATAGTGTTTGCAAATAAACAAGAAGAAAAAATCCTACCTTTGTGGTTTCAGGGTAAGGTCAAGACTCCTTACATGGCAAATTATTTTAGGAACTGGTATTTATGTAGCGCTCACTTAAAGTAAGGAGTATGCAAGATTGTTTAGCTAGAGCTTTGTTTAATCTGGAGAAATTTCTAGGCATTTACAAGGATCATTAAAACATCGAGATAACCATCAGTCTGAATAAAACAAATAGTTTTATTCTATTTCTGGGAGAAAAACACACATTACAGAATGAAAAAAAAAAAAAAAAAAAGGAACGGATCTCAAGTCCTATACTTGAATTTCAAGATTTCCACTTACGATATTCCATAATCAGAGACAAACTGTTTTTAATAAACATATCTCCAACATTAAACCACATGTGCTGAAAATGAGTTTACTATCTGAATACTCTATTTTTAACAACTCTCCTTATTCATGGGTCCCCAAAGAAAGATGATATATCAATTCTTCTGTACTTAAATTTGTCTTAGAAACATATGTATATATTTTGTGTCATCTGTCATTCTTCCTTCTTTTCAACTTCTGTGATCAACATAATTTTGAATACTATTGACTTTGTCTCATAGGTTTCTCTCGAATTCACATACTTTACTTTTTTCCAACCACCATTTGTCCCAAGAGTGGGCCATGCCAAACCTTCATCATAATTTTCAAATTGTTCTCTGTATAATCCTCCCTTCTTCATAGAGCACCAGAGTTATCTATTAAATTTAAGAGGCAATTTGACCGAGTGATTTCTCTGAAAGCCTTCTCTTGCTGTCAGTATAAACTCCAAGCTTCTATCTCTGTCTCATAAGATCTTCCTGAGATGGCCACTGCTTTGTTCCCCAAGCACTCATCACTCTTGTGTTCCAGTCTTCACTGCATCATACTACTTCCATCCTTCCAAAGCAAGTTGTGTTCTCTGTTGAACTTTGCAAACCCAATCATATAAAACCTAATTCATTTTCTGCCACCTACTCATTTACCTGGCTGAAAGGCGATCATTCTCAGACTCCATTTGAGTTGCAACTATGTTTTGCAACTCAAATGGCCAGGAATTGCTCATGTGCCTTCCTTATGTGTCCTCATCATACCTATCAGTCCATTTTTGTAGCTGTGTTTCAGATTGGTTCTTAAAGACAAACTAGCAGATTTATCATTATAAATTAAGGCTTTGTCACAGGTTCTGGACATAGAACTGACTCAATAAATATCTGTGGAAGGAAAAAAAGGAATTTTGCTGTAGGGTACAATTATAGAAAAGAAGAACAAGGCAGGCCAATTTTCTTCTTCTTCCTCCTCCTCCTCTTTTCTTCTTCTTCTTCTTCTTCTTCTTCTTCTTCTTCTTCTTCTTCTTCTTCTTCTTCTTTTCTTCTTGTTCTTCTCCCTCTTCTTCTTCATCTCCTTCTTCTTCTCCTCCTCCTCTTCCCCTCACTCTCCTTCTTCCTCTTGCTATTCTTCTCCTCCTCCTTCCTCCTCTTCCTCCTTCTCCCCCTTCTTCCCTCCTCCTCCACCTCCTCCTCCTCCTTCTTCCTCCTCCTCCTCTTCTTCTTCTTCTTCTTCTTCTTCTTTTCTTCCTTTCTCTCCCTCTCTCTCTTACATGGAATCTCATTGAACACCGTATAATTTATTCCACCCTGCTTTTCCATAATCACAGCCATACTGATGAGGTATTTCAATTTATATTAAAGATCCAGATGGATTTTTTTAAAAAAAAGAGAGAGAGGGAGAGGGAAAAAGAGAATGTCAAACACTAGTGGAAGATTTAACATTCATGAAGCACTTATTGTGTGCCAGATCCTCTACTAAGTATTTCACCACCATCTATCATTACATCCTCACTTCAGTAGCATGTGAGAGCCACCATGATCATTGCCCCTTAACAGAGAAGAAAACTAAGACACAGAAAGAGGGACAACTAGGAATTGAACTACATCCATCCACCAGCCTCCCATGTGCACACTATGTAGCCACGGAACTTCCTTCACTATACATTAAACCACTACTCAGATCATTGAATGTATCAGAGCTCTTGAACAATGCCTTTTGTTTCATCTAGGCCATATAGCCAGAACTCAAGAGTTGGAGATGTTGTCATAGATGTGTGTTTAGGAGTCCTGGAAGGAATTAAAGCACATTTTTTCCCCCAATTCTTATATTTTCTCCCTCCCTATGCTAACACTTTCCTTCATGGCCATCCTGCCCAGAGCAGTGCAGTGACAAGGAAATACACACAAAAAAATTGTCCCAGGAGTACATCCTAACCTTGTCTAAAGCCAAAGCACTTGTTAGTAGTAAAAATCTGGGTCCATGAAGCCCCTATCATACCAAGAGTTTCTCCCTTTGCTGCAAGA